>NC_000006.12:159313214-159464729 GCF_000001405.40 Homo sapiens | reverse complement strand
TTTCTCCTTCCAGTCTCTCTGGGACTGACTCCAGCTCTAACCTGGGCTTGCAGTGTGGCCAGCAGTTCAGTAATGTCCAACTTGACCTAAGTCTGATTTTTACTAAATCAAGAACTCTACTAAAAGATGTAAAAATGTGAATGATTGTTGTTTGCCACCTTGAAGGAAAATAGCAGTGTTAAATTAGAACATTCTCTCATCTTAGAGATGTTACTAACAGGTGACATTTGGATGCTGTTTCAGAGGAATGGGATTATACTGAATATTTTTCTAATATTTCTTTCGTTGTCACAAGGTGAGAAACAACTGGCACTGTTCTAAGGGCTTAATATGCATTAATTTAATTCTCACATCTCATGAAGCAGGTGCTGTTGTGAGCCCCATTTGACAGAGGAGGAAACTGAGGCACAGATTGGTAAATGGAAGAGCCCAATTTCAAAGCCTGATGATTTCGTTTCAGAGCTTGGACCCTTTCCTGGCTGACACCAGACATTCCTAGAACCCCTAATTATGTGCTAGAAGAGTGATTCTCCATCCTAACTGTAAATAATTTGTAGTTATATGTAAAAGTGGAGTTGGGTTCCAGGCTCAGAAAATTATAAACAAGTTTGTCACCTGCATAACTGTCTGGTGGGACATTGAAAAGTTCCACAAGATCGTCTTCTGCATTGTGGGCCCTCTAGTATTCCAGGCCTCCACCCACTAAATGAGGTCACACCCCATCTTCATGACTATCAATAAAGTAAAACAGGGCCAGGCGCGGTGGCTCACGCCTGTAATCCCAGCACTTTGGGAGGCCCAAGTGGGTGGATCACGAGGTCAGGAGTTCGAGACCAGCCTGGCCAACATGGTGAAGCCCTGTCTCTACTAAAAATACAAAAAGTAGCCAGGCGTGGTGGTGGAAGCCTGTAATGCCAGCTACTCGGGAGACTGAGGCAGGAGAATCACTTGAAACCGTAAGGCGGAGGTTGCAGTGAGTCGAGATCGTGCCACTGCACTCCAGCCTGGGCGAAAGAGCAAAACTCCCTCTCAAATAAATACATAAATAAAGTAAAATAAAGCCCCTACACATTTCCAAAATGCTCTCTAGGGGGCAGTAATCCCTCCATTAAGAACTATTGGTTAGCTTTTTGATGGTGACATTAAAGCGTCATTTCTCTAGGTTAAATCAACCTGGATAAGAGTTCTAGCCACAGGCACATGTCTGTGTTTCTACATGAGCATGAAGAAGCGAGTGCACTGTGGAGAGGATATGAATAATATCTCCCTCCCTTCCCAACTAAGGGAAGCCGGCCCACGCCTGCACTCACATGAGACTGTTCCCCACGATGGCACAGTAAGAGGAGACTTGAGAGAGCGCCCTGCTGTTTTGGTCGTGTGTGATGTTAGTGACTGCGTCATAAGAACCAAAGCTGATGCTTGATTGGAGTGTGCTAGAATCCAATCACTTAGAAGTGGGTCCGCCAGCAAATATGCAAGATTGATTTTTGGAAGCGATGCTGGAAACTGTGGCTGGCGAAGGTAGACGGAGCTTTGCTTTCCAATATCTGCAAGGGGCCGACTTCTCCGTAGCCTGTGTATGTCGGGGCACTCTCAGGCTTTCATATCGAGCCAGATGTTCCCACTTCCTTTTGATTCTCTTGCTGATGGAGAAAATTGCCGCTCTGGGGGATGAAATACTTCCCAATGACTTGGAAATTGTGATGGTAACTTGTAGTTGATGAATCATGAGTTGTTACCACAGGCCCCACAAAGACCCGCAATGCACACCAAAGACGGGCACCAAAACCACCCCAGTGGTATGGAGAGAAGCACGTGGTTCTCTCATTTTGAACACTCTGTGTTTTAAAGATATCAGTAATGTCTCCCTCCCTTCCCAAATTATTTTCTCCCAGGGAAGCTCCACGTTATGACATCTTCACAGATGCAGTCAACTGTTTTCTTTAAATGTCATTGGCCACCGAGGAGAGGTAGGCCCTAAGTCTTGTGGCCCCAACCCACCCTGCTGAGAGGTTGGTATGTGGCTCCTGTTTTGGGAAAGAGGAGGTAGGCGGTTACGTGACTCCCCCACTTCCTCCAGCTCTCTTGGCAAGGCTATTGGCAGATTGGAGCTTGCCCCGCTCTGGACTCAGAAGTTCTCATTTGCTACATTAGGCTGCTTCATCTGGCTCCAATGGGAGGATTCTTGGAAAGTTCTAAACTGGGTTACAGCCGCATTTTAGGCTGCCATTAATTGATTGTTCAGAGCTAAAATTAGAAAAAATACATTATAACGACTTTTACCATGTCAGAACCACCAATATTTAAAAATATTTCACGAATGTAATTGCTGGTGTGAAATATACTTGTTTAACCATCCCACCACTAAAGGAAAATCTTGGACTGAAATTCTTCATTTCAGGAAACAAATTATAAATTTCAACAGATAGTGGTTTGCCTCACTGAAGAGACACAGGCTTCAGGACCCAATAGGCTGGTTTTAGGATCTTGGTCCCTCTATTTACCAGCGGAGGGCCCCAATAACTTACTACCTCTCTGAGTCTCAGGTTTCACATCTGCAAAGTGTGGTTAAAAATATCTGCTTTGCAAAATAGTGTTTTGCACAAGGCTAACTGATAGAGAGAGAGAGAGAGAGTTAAAGACCAAACTGATAATTTTGTCAACAGCATGGAATAGCAATTGGGAAATTAATTTATTATGTCCTCTGTGTGGTTAACCAAACTAAATGTTTATTTAGCTAGGGTATTGTGTCTTGATAACAGCACCCCCACAAGAGAAAATTTAATATGTTGTAAATTAGGTTTTGGTATCAAAAATTTTGATAAGGTATTAAAATGTGGTACCTAATTTTGAATTTCAAAGACTGTGTGGATATTCATATAGCCACAAAAGTTTGTATACAATTTTAGAGGGTCCACAGACCACTGAATTCCATGCAAGGATCCCTTGAGGATCTATGGACCTTGTATTTGAAATCCCAGAATACTGCTTACTGAGAGATAGCTTTTATACTTGGGGTTCTAGATTTTGATAATCATTGTCAGGATTTGATTTTATTTTAAGCTAACATACACAACAGGTTGCTTGTTAAAAGAGAGCAAAGATCATGGAAAAAAATAAATCTGCTCCAAAATTATGTATTGTCTGTTTGTTCTCTGCAAATGCTTGGTGAGAGAGGGAAATATTTCACAGAGGTGTTCACTGTATTGGGCATTCCTAACAAGCTGTGGTTTCGAACATTCCCTGGGGCAGCTCGCTTCGTCTCATCGCTTGGAATGATCTCTGCCAGTGTGGGGCTGTTTACAGAGAGGAGGGGATGGGTTAGAGATGGATCTGAGCTATTAAATCATGTGGTTTCTGGGGACTTGGCCTCCTGGTGGCTTTGTTGTTTTTGAATAGTTGTTCTTGGGAGGGTAGGAAAGAGAAGGTATACGAATCTGCCTGCTGCTCAGAAGAGATAGTTTTATTTCTCATGCATTGCATATGTGTCTAAAACTTACTGCCTGAGTTATGCTTATTTGTGATTCCTACCTTTTTCCAGTTGCTTTACCAGATCTGTACCTATCTGAGATTAGCATCACTGGGGGAGAGTTTTGTTTGGGCTGAACTGAAGGACTTCAAGGCTAGCTGTGGAAGTTAGGGCACTTAGGGGAAAGAAAATCTGTAAGCGATCTTGGTCAAAGTCACTTTGCCTCTCAGGCTTTAGTTCTTCCATTGTAAAACTAAATCCACTGTTCGCCCATTTAGTGATTTTGCTCAATGCAACACATTTACTGAGAGCTACTATTTTCCAGGAGTGTTCTAGGTCCTTGGAACAGATTAATAAACACAGATCGCTGTTCCCCTAAGGGGAGTGGGTGGGAGGATTGGGATTGTAATTGTTCACAGGATGATCTAGAGAAGGAGGCATTGGAAAAGGACTTGACCTGGGAGATAGGAACAAGTTTTCCAGGCAGAGAGAAGAGCCAGAGATGCAGGCTCTTACCCTGCATCCAGGGTAAGCCTCATCCTTGGAGGAGTAGCAAGGGGGCCAGCGTGGCTGGAGCTGCAGGAGCAGGTAGGGAGGGGAGGGTATGAGGTCAAAGGCCCAGTGCGAGGTGGAGACAGCTCTGCCGACACCCTGCTTGGCAAATAATGCTTGGGCTGGGTTTCAAGCCCCATCCATGCCTGAGGCCATGAGCTGCCTACACAATGTGTGGAATTGGAGGCGGGGGTGCCCTGAATAGCCCCACATCAATTTACCTAAAAAGGAAAGACGGAAGTCACTTTTCCCTAGGCCACGGTGGCTTTGGCTTCAATGGGATTGCCGACAGCCTCTGGGCACACAAGTTCCATTTCTGAATCCCCACTACCTCCCACTCCTTCCACGCAGTCCCTTGCTTCTATACAAAGGGCTCCCAGCATCTCACATGTTTGCAAGTGACCACAGTGATCCTGCTGGCTCCCCAGGGCATCATTTTTCTTTGCCACTTCCAAAGCTTGCCAGCATCACTGAAAGCATGTCATTAACCAGGGGTGCCTCTAGGTCCTTGTGCAGAGCTCTTGGCCCCAGGGTCAACTGTCTGTCCTAGGGCATGATGGGCAGCACAGGCTCTCTCATGAGGGTTCCTGACCCTTGTGGCAGACTCTGAGCTGGGATCCTTGTTGCAGAAGCCACCCAGAGTGGACGGAGCAGAGCATAACTATTGGAGTCAGAAAAAACAAGGCCTACACTGAATTCACTCTGCCATCAGCTTTTAGCTTCACAGTGAATTGGCTGTACAACCTTGGGCTTGTTGCTTAACTGTTTGTGTTTAAAATGGGAATTATAATAGCACCTCGTCCCTACTCATGGCAGTTTTGCAAGGAGTAAATGACACAATACATATTAAGCACTTAGCACAGTGGCTGGCACATAATAATTACTCTATAAATATATATTTTAAACCTTCCAAATTTTCTGGAACAGTACTAATCTAAAATATTTTCTTGAGAAACAGGTGTGAAGTACAAATTAGTACATTTCTGTTTTTTAAGTTGGTGATGCATATCAAGAGATTTAAAATGTTTTTATCCTATTATGCAGTATTTCTTCTTCTTGATCACACAGTGGAAATTTCCAAAACTGTGAACAAAGATGTATATATAACAATGTTTACCACGGTATTTTTAATAATAGTAAAAAAAAGATGGCAACTACATGTTTGATGATATGTGTAGTGGGTAAAAATAATTATATATTCTATCTTTGCTGTATATGCAGAGATAGAATATTATGCAGCCATTAAAAAGAAACTCCACAAAGAATATTTAATGATGTGATAAAATCCTTGTAACATAGCTTTAATTGAAAAGTTCAGGATGAAAAATTATATATACAGTGTGATAGTCAAGTGGATAAAAATTATCCTGTATTAATCCAGCATATAAACAGAACCAAAGACAAAAACCACATGATTATCTCAATAGATGCAGAAAAGGCCTTTGACAAAATTCAACAGCTCTTCATGCTAAAAACTCTCGATAAATTAGGTATTGATGGGACGTATCTCAAAATAATAAGAGCTATCTATGACAAACCCACAGCCAATATCATACTAAATGGACAAAAACTGGAAGCATTCCTTTTGAAAACTGAGCACAAGACAAGGATGCCCTCTCTCACCACTCCTATTCAACATAGTGTTGGAAGTTCTGGTCAGGGCAATCAGGCAGCAGAAGGAAATAAAGGGCATTCAATTAGGAAAAGAGGAAGTCAAATTGTCCCTGTTTGCAGATGACATGATTGTATATCTAGAAAACCCCATCGTCTCAGCCCAAAATCTCCTTAAGCTGATAAGCAACTTCAGCAAAGTCTCAGGATACAAAATCAATGTGCAAAAATCACAAGCATTCTTATACACCAATAACAGACAAAAGAGAGCCAAACCACGAGGAACTCCCATTCACAATTGCTTCAAAGAGAATAAAATACCTAGGAATCCAACTTACAAGGGATGCGAAGGACCTCTTCGAGGAGAACTGCAAACCACTGCTCAATGAAATAAAAGAGGATACAAACAAATGGAAGAACATTCCATGCTCATGGGTAGGAAGAATCAATATAGTGAAAATGGCCATACTGCCCAAGGTAATTTCTACATTCAATGCCATCCCCATCAAGCTACCAATGACTTTCTTCACAGAATTGGAAAAAACTACTTTAAAGTTCATAAGGAACCAAAAAAGAGCCTGCATTGCCAAGTCAATCCTAAGCCAAAAGAACAAAGCTGGAGGCATCATGCTACCTGATTTCAGACTATACTACAAGGCTACAGTAACCAAAACAGCATGGTACTGGTACCAAAGCAGTGATATAGACCAATGGAACAGAACAGAGCCCTCAGAAATAATGCCGCATATCTACAACTATCTGATATTTGACAAACCTGACAAAAACAAGAAATGGGGAAAGGATTCCCTATTTAATAAATGGTGCTGGGAAAACTGACTAGCCATATGTAGAAAGCTGAAACTGGATCCCTTCCTTACACCTTATACAAAAATTAATTCAAGATAGATTAAAGACTTACATGTTAGACCTAAAACCATAAATACCCTAGAAGAAAACCTAGGCAATACCATTCAGGACATAGGCATGGGCAAGGACTTCATGTCTAAAACACCAAAAGCAATGGCAACAAAAGCCAAAATTGGCAAATGGGATCTAATTAAACTAAAGAGCTTCTGCACAGCAAAAGAAACTACCATCAGAGTGAACAGGCAACTTACACAATGGGAGAAAATTTTTGCAATCTACTCATCTGACAAAGGGCTAATATCCAGAATCTATAATGAACTCAAACAAATTCACAAGAAAAAAACAAACAACCCCATCAAAAAGTGGGTGAAGGATATGAACAGACACTTCTCAGAAGAAGACATTTATGCAGCCAAAAAACACATGAAAAAATGCTCATCATCACTGGCCATCAGAGAAATGCAAATCAAAACCACAATGAGATACCATCTCACACCAGTTAGAATGGCGATCATTAAAAAGTCAGGAAACAACAGGTGCTGGAGAGGATGTGGAGAAATAGGAACACTTTTACACTGTTGGTGGGACTGTAAACTAGTTCAACCATTGTGGAAGTCAGTGTGGCGATTCCTCAGGGATCTAGAACTAGAAATACCATTTGACCCAGCCATCCCATTACTGGGTATATACCCAAAGGATTATAAATCATGCTGCTATAAAGACACATGCACATCTATGTTTATTGCGGCACTATTCACAATAGCAAAGACTTGGAACCAACCCAAATGTCCAACAACGATAGACTGGATTAAGAAAATGTGGCACATATACACCATGGAATACTATGCAGCCATAGAAAATGATGAGTTCATGTCCTTTGTAGGGACATGGATGAAGCTGGAAACCATCATTCTCAGCAAACTATCACAAGAACAAAAAACCAAACACCGCATGTTCTCACTCATAGGTGGGAATTGAACAATGAGAACACATGGACACAGGAAGGGGAACATCACACACCGGGGACTGTTGTGGGGTTGGGGGAGAGGGGAGGGATAGCATTAAGAGATATACCTAATGTTAAATGACGAATTAATGGGTGCGGCACACCAACATGGCACATGTATACATATGTAACAAACCTGCACGTTGTGCTCATGTACCCTAAAACTTAAAGTATAATAATAATTAAAAAAATTATCCCGTATTACTGATAAAGATGGAAAAGAAATATGAATGAAAATGTTAATAATGGTTATTTCTGGGTAGTGGGACTGCAGATGTTTTTAGTTTCTTCTTTGACCTTTTTAAAGTCTCTAAAATGAACGTGGATTACTTTTTCAAGAAGGAAAAAAAGCAATGCACTTTAAACATTGTGGTAAGTACACACATACTTATCAGACCATGTGTCTGGAATTTTATTTGGAAAATATGGTTACAGTAAATATAGGTCAACTACTTTCCAAGATTTTTTAATTGGAAACTTTTGAAAAACTTCAAAATGAATTATTTCCTGGGCTATATCTGGATGTGAAGGGAAAATAAAATTTTAAAGGAAGCAGGGTAATGCTTTCAACATTCCCATGTACAAATAACTATCTTCTTGGCTTTTGGGACAGTATTAGGGTGGGGTTTCTATGGTTTTTTTTTTTTTTTTTTTTTTTTTTAAGCAATAACTCGGAAGTCTCCAGGATCATCAGGGCCAAGGGACAAAGTTAACTAGAGAAAACAGCTTTTCCTGACTTCAGCATTTTATCAGTTTGGCAACAGGAAATGAGGATGGAAACTACTTTTTTTCTGGGAGTGGCATCCCTTGACCGACATAGCTAAATTAGGCAACCATATTTCAAATAGTGTCCTTTATTTTTAGAAAGCTTCAAATAAAGGAACTGCTAGTACAAAAATAACATTAAAATGGCGTAGTTCAGCACTTCTCAAGGTTCAACATTCACAAGAATCACCCAAGCAGCTTGAAAAGATGTGGCTGGAGCCTAAGATTCTGCATTTCCACCCAGCTCCTGGGTCATGGTAGTGCTCTTGGGCAGTGGTGACGCTCCCAGGTGGTGGTGGTGAAGCTCCCCGGGTGGTGGTGCTCCCCGGGTGGTGATGGTGCTCCCCGGGTGGTGGTGGTGCTCCCCGGGTGGTGGTGATGCTGCTCATGGGTGGTGGTGACACTCCCCGGTAGTGGTGGTGCTCCTGGGCGGTGGTGACTCTCCCTGGTGGTGGTGACGCTCCCTGGTGGTGGTAGTGCTCCCAGGTGGTGGTGTTCCTGAGTGGTGGTGATGCTCCTGGGCGGTGGTGGTGGTGGTGCTCCCGGGTGGTGGTGGTGGTGCTTCTGGGCGGTGGTGGTGGTGGTGCTCCCGGGTGGTGGTGGTGGTGCTTCTGGGCAGTGGTGACACTCCCTGGTGATGGTGCTCCCGGGTGGTGGTGGTGCTCCCAGGTGGTGGTGATGCTCCCAGGTGGTGGTCGTGCTCTTTGGTGATGGTGATCCTCCGGGGAGGTGGTGATGCTCCCTGGTAGTGGTGGTGCTCCTCGGTGGTGGTGGTACTCCTGGGTGGTGGTGTTCCTGGGTGGTGGTGATGCTCCCAGGCAGTGCTGGTGCTGCTGCTGGAGAAGAACCACACTTTTGTAGATTTCCTAGGCAGACATGAAGTGCAGGCTGGGATGTTGCCTTATCCCTTTACAAAGAGTGCCACAGAGGACCACAGGCCCTAGTGCAGCTAATTCTGTGCATCAGAATCACCCCATGTGGCTTTCTAAATACACAGGGACACACCTCAGCTCCAGTTGACAAGGTGTTGACCAGTGGGCTCAGGCGTCCCTTTCTGAGAAGCTCTCAAGTGATTCAGAGGCACAGCTGTCCAGTGACAAGTTGAGAACTCCTCCCCTGGCTCCTTCTCGGCCCCCTTGGCTGTCCAGCCTCAGTGGTTGGGGGAGGTTTCTGCGCCTCTTGGCTGTCGCTGCACCCCTTGCCTTTACTCAGGAGATGCACTTGCTTGGATCCTATTTTCAGCCTTAGGTATCTTTGTTCTAGAAGAATCCTCAGAATGAGATAGAGGGTCCTGACCCAGCTCTCCCAGCCCCACTGCTAAGTGGGCATTTCCCAGGCATAGCTCCTAATAGACTCAATGAGCAGCCATTTGGAAAACATTTACAGATTAAAGTAGAATCTGGCATTTTTGTGATACCCGCTCAATGCATTAGGAAACTAGTAGAGGATTTAGAAAATATTTATGGCTTTGGAAAACATGTCTCTAAGAAATTCCAGAAAGTTCCAAATTTGGATTTCTTTTAGAGATAGAAGTTAATAAATGCTAAATATTCAATGCCCTGCTCCCTTCATTAATAAGATGGAGATATCTGGGAAACTGTATACAAGAAAGCAGTTTAGATTTCAAAAGGATAATTTCTCTGAGCTCCAGCAAAATATAGATTTTGAAAAACCCAACAATACCAAAAATGTCAACTAACTTTGGTGACACAGAAGCTCAGAGATGAGGAATTTTCAGTTTCTTGATTTAGAAAAAGTTTGAGTAGTGTAAAAATGAAAACTGCAGAACTGTAGTAGGTATTTATTTAGGAATCAGGGCCAAATCAGAATAAGATTGCTTGAAATGAGTTATTTATTTATTCATATTGTAAAAAACACATAACATTAAGTTTGCCATCGTAACCATTTTTTAAAATTATACTTTAAGTTCTGGAACACATTTGTTACATAGGTATACATGTGCCATGGTGGTTTGCTGCACCCATCAACCCATCATCTAGGTTTTAAGCCCCACATGCATTAGGTATTTGTCCTAATGCTTTCCCTCTTCTAGTCCCCCACCTCAACAGGCCCCTGTGTGTGATGATCCCCTCCCTGTGTCCATGGGTTCTCATTGTTCAACTCCCACTTATGAGTGAGAACATGCGGTGTTTGGTTTTCTGTTCCTGTGTTAGTTTGCTGAGAATGATGGTTTCCGGCTTCATCCATGTCCCTGCAAAGGACATGAACTCATTCATTTTTATGGCTGCATAGTATTCCATGGTGTATATGTGCCACATTTTCATTATCCAGTCTATCATTGGTGGGCATTTGGGTTGGTTCCAAGTCTTTGCTATTGTGAATAGTGCTGCAATAAACATACGTATGCATGTGTCTTTATAGTAGAATGATTTATAATCCTTTGGGTATATAACCAGTAATGGGATTGCTGGGTCAAATGGTATTTCTTGTTCTAGATCCTTGAGGAGTCACCACACCGTCTTCCACAACGGTTGAACTAATTTACACTGCCACCAACAGTGTAAAAGTGTTCCTATTTCTCCATATTCTCTCCAGCATCTGTTGTTTCCTGACTTTTTAATGGTCACCGTTCTAACTGGCGTGAGATGGTATCTCGTTGTGGTTTTGATTTGCATTTCTCTAATGACCAGTGATGATGAACTTTTTCTCATACGTTTGTTGGCCACATAAATGTCTTTTTTCGAGAAGGATCTGTTCATATCCTTCGCCCACTTTTTGATGGGATTGTTTTTTCTTTTCTTTTAATTTGTTTAAGTTCCTTGTAGATTCTGGATATTAGACCTTTGTGAGATGGATAGATTGCAAAAATTTTCTACCACTCTGTAGGTTGCCTGTTCACTCTGATATTAGTTTCTTTTGCTGTGCAGAAGCTCTTTAGTTTAATTAGATCCCATTTGTCAATTTTGTCTTTTGTTGCCATTGCTTTGTTGTTTTAGTCATGAAGTCTTTGCCCATGCCTATGTCCTGAATGGTATTGCCTAGGTTTTCTTCTAGGGTTTTTATGGTTTTAGGTTTTCCATTTAAGTCGTTAATCCATCTTGAGTTAATTTTTGTATAAGGTGCAAGGAAAGGGTCCAGGGTCAATTTTCTGCATATGGCTAGCCAGTTTTCCCAACACCATTTATTAAATAGGGAATCCTTTCCCCATTGCGTGTTTTTGTCAGGTTTGTCGAAGATCAGATGTTTGTAGACATGTGGTGTTGTTTCTGAGGCCTCTGTTCTGTTCCATTGGTCTGTATATCTGTTTTGGTACCAGTACTATGCTGTTTTGGTTACTGTAGCTTTGTAGTACACAAGCCTTGTAGTCCTCTTCTGCCAGGTATTTCCCTGTCTCCTGTCTTTACCACCTGTACCATGTGGACAGGTGGTGAACTATGTTGCCACAAGGGTACCTCCTTTGCGTCTTCTGTGATCTGCTTTGTTGTTTTGTTTCCAGGAGAAGCCAATCACTGGGGAAGGAGGAGGGAAGTGGATCCCAGTGGACTCTGCTTCATGTGCAGCCCCACTCAGCAGATGTCCTCCACTGCCCACATCCGGCGTGCTTCTCTCTTCTATTCAGTGCTGCTAGGGCTTTTCCCTAGCACTGAGATGTGTTAGCCACCGCAGAGTCTCATATATAAATTCACAGGCCTCCTTGGCAAAGAATGTCCCTGCTTCCTTTGAACACAAAGTTTTCAGTCTTGAACCGCCTGGACTTTGAGCCCCATGAAGGTGGAGTGTGAGCAGACTCTGTAGCCGGCAGCCCCCAGGGGACAGGGTCAGTGGGCAGAGCCCACTGGTATGTTGAGAGAAGACAGAAAACCCTGTTTGGGTCCCATCTCCCCAGTCAACAAACAGCATATTTTTAAGTACAAATGTCCTCCCTGCCTCTTGCCCTCTTTGGCAAAGTACAGAGATTCTAGAAGCCTGAACAGGAGGGTAACGTTTCCTGGCAGCACAGACTACTGCTGACCTGACCAAGCGATGGCCTAGGTGACAGGGCCCAGCTCTTTTGGAGGTTGGAGTGTGAAGCCACTGAGATTTGACAGGATGAAGAGATGTTGCATGAAGGATGGGAAAATGGAAAAATGTACGAGGCCCTAGAAGTCAAAGATTGGAAGCCAAGAAGAACAAATGGAAGTACTTGGTAGAAAAATGGAAACAGAGCAAAAGGTGAGGGAGAGCAGAAGACCAAAGTGCTCTGAAATTTCATTCAAACGGTGCTTAGTTTCCCAAACATTTCGAAGGGAACACAGATTGAGCTCAGCTTTGAGCAGTTTAAAGGATCACCAACCCATAACAAAATATAAACCCTAGGCTGTTCTGTCCTTTGTGGGCTTTTTTGTTTTGTTTTGTTTGTGGGGGATGGGATTGTTTGTTTGTTTGCTTGAGATAGGATCTCTCTCTCTGTTGCCCAGGCTGAGTGCACTGGTGTGATCTCAGCTCACTGCAACCTTGACCTCCTGGGCTCAAGTGATTCTCCTGCCTCAGCCTCCTGAGTAGCTGGGACTACAGGTGTGTGCCACCATGCCTGACCCTTTGGTTTTAACATGAGAACCTAAAGAAGTCAATGGGAAAGAAGAACTTTAAGAAGTCTCTGTATTAGACATAACAGCTGTAAGCAACATGTGCTACATTCAAATCTTGATTCGAACACACTAACTGTAAAAAAAACCCTAGCTCTGAGACAATTGAGGAAATGCGAATATAAGTGGATATTAACTGGTGATAAGGAATCCTTGTTAATTTTGTTAGGTGTGATTATGTTTAAAAAATGATATCAATTAGGACTTCCGAACTATTTACAGCAAAATGACATGATATTTAAAATGTGTTTTAAAATAGTCCAGAAAAAAGTGTGTGTGTGTGAGAGAGAGAGAGAGAGAGAGTGTGTATGAGAGAGTGTGTGTGCGTGTGTCTATGTGAGAGAGAGAACAAAGAAAGATCAGAAAAATATTGAAATAGTTGTTAAAACTGGATAATGGGTAAACACAGGCTCACTATCATATTTTCTCTCCTTTTGTCTGTGTTTGACATGTTCCATAATAAGAATTTTTTTCCTTCTAAGAAGTCTGTATTGACTTAATCACACAACAGCATCAACATGTTAGCACCAAGTACTGCGAGAGACAGCATCCCACTCAGGCCCTCCAAGCACTGCATTCCATTGACTTGACTAAACAGAATGTACAGCGTGCTGTAAACAGATCTGCAATATACAGTTTTGAGAGAAGTTGCCACAGGCACAAGTTCTGTGCAGACAGCCTAGGGTGGTAGAGGCACTTTTCTCTCTGCTGAAGATGTTTACTTTTTTTCTGCAATTAACATAATTTTAAAGATTGGTACATGAGGCATTCTGCCCAGAGGTCCAGATTTTATAAGCAGTGTAAACATTCACCACTGGTGGCCAGGATGCTCCCCTGTCTGGGGTCATTCATGTGCAATTCACAGACTCACTCAGTGCTCAACCAGGAGCAAACTGAGGAGGTGGCAGGCCAGCCTGTGCCAGGGCAAGACTGTCCTGGAAAGAGAACATCTCCTCCTGTTTCAAAGGCATTTTCCGGACAGTATCCTGTGGGCACAACCTAAGACCTCAGGCACAAGGGTCCCAAGTCCCTGTGGTTTTACCCTGCAGTTTCCTTGCTTGTTACTGCCTCCTTGCTGGGCCAAGAGAAAAATCCACTGTGTACTACTCTGACCCTTAGACTATATTCCCTAAATCTGCTTCAAAGTCTTCCTTCTGCCTCTTTTCTTTCCCAACTCTGAAAACTGTCAGCGCTTCTTGCCACTTTTAGGGTTTTATCTGAATTATTAGCATCTTTCTTTGGTTGCCAGACAAGATGGACACTGGTAACACTAAGACTCTAGGCATATGTTCCAGTGTCTAGCAATTTATTGCTATAAATAGCAAATCCAAAAGTCCTTTGAAAACATGCAATCTTCCAGACAAGCATGTATGATTAATATCAATACTCGTAACAAGAGCTCCAGTTCATGGCAAGGCATAGAGTCATATTTTGCTGTCATGTGCGGGCTCAGGAGTTATAGGTGAATAAATCATAGTGCTTCCAAGTTAGTAGGAGCTTTAGGGGATGCTTATTACAGTTCTCTAGCCTGTGCCCAAATCTGCCCATGCATCAGACAGAATCAAGTAATCGAGTCATGAACAGTTTCATGATTTGAACCTCTTTTAGGAGTGAAAAGTGATGCTTACATGAGGGTGCCTACAGTGAGCACAGAGTGGATCCTGATTTAGATTAAGGGCCAGTTTAGGGCACAAAGTGCCTACATTTAGTATAGATCACAGCATAAAGAGAAGGACTGTGTATTTTGAAATTATTTTTGCAACATAATGCAAAATTTTGCATCCCAATGTTGCATTCTAATTTTGCATCCCAATGTTACCTTCTACTTTTGCATTCTAAGTTTCTTCATGATCAATCTCTGCATTCAGTTCTTATAACATTTACTTCGTTATTCACTATATAGACAATGGCTTTTAAAGTCAGCCACTTGCATACATATAAAGTAATGGTTTCTGTCATCTCTGGTTGAACAAATTTGAAACTTTTACAAAATTCCAGGAAATAGCAATATAATATGCCAAAAAACTGGTGGAAACAGATAGGTTTTTAAGCATATGTTTTATAAATATTATTAAATGACTTATCTGTCATTTAAGTCAATCCAGTAAAATATACCACGTTTTTGAAAAGTATATATTAGAATACCAAGAGAGCAAAAATGTTTACAAGTACTAAATTATTAACCATTTTTTTTTGCTATTGGTTAAGAAACATTCAGCTATTTTTAAATAGCCATTTGTTTGAAAAAGTAAATCACACTGGCTGTTAAAATTAAAGCTTTTCTTCACACTTTATGTTACTTTTTCTTCATATTTACTGGCTTTCACACTATTTCTTATGCAGTCTCTGATAATATATTTACATATATGAATGTAAATTGATTGTACAATTCAAATATGTTATGTAGATATAATTGAAGCCAGCTGAACATTTTCCCCAAAGATTAATGTATGAACAAAGAAACTAATATTATAATTGAAGATAGGAATGTCTATAGATTAATAAATTGGTATATATCTGTCTGGGTATAAATTTAATCCTAGGGTTCAAGTTAAAGGGGGTGAAATTTATCCTTATTGTCTTTCTATCTTTTGCTCCTCTTATCACCAGATGACAGTGAATGCTAAATAGACATCAAATATATCCTTGCCAATGTGTTGGTGAACCAATACAATAATTTCACCTTCTGTATAGTAACACCTTTTGTCAGCTACAAGTGCACAAGTCTGGCCTGGCGCGGTGGCTCACGCCTGTAATCCCAGCACTTTGGGAGGCTGAGGCGTGCAGATCATGAGGTCAGGAGTTCAAGACCAGCCTGACCAACATGGTGAAACCTGATCTCTATTAAAAATACAAAAATTAGCCAGGCATAATGGCACAAGCCTGTAATCCCAGCTACTCAGGAGGCTGAGGCAGGAGAATTGCTTGAACCCAGAAGGAGGAGGTTGCAGTGACCTGAGATCGTGCCATTGCACCCGAGCCTGGGCGACAGAGCCAGACTCCGTCTCAAAAAAAAAAAAAAAAAAAGTGCACAAGTCTAGTGTTTTTTTTTTCTTTTTTCTTTGCGTCTCCTTCAAATCTCATCACCTTGACAGGTGCCTCTGCTATCTGCACATACAAATGTCTACACCTAAGCTTAAGTGTAATAATGTTGGAATTCTTTGTGCATGAGAAAAACAAGCGTGTGCAGAGGAGCCAGCATGGACTGTAAACTTAAACAGTCTAGATTTGAATTCCATCTCCACACTAGGCAGGGTTTTAAATATCAGATTCTCGAGTTCCACATCTGTAGAATGTAGATGATAACGCATAACTACTGTGAGGGTTAGTGGGTATACTGTTTATAGAGCGTTGTACCTAATAGAGACACAATAAATAATCACTGTAATTATCATTATGGTTATTTCAAGAATATGATTTGCTCAGTCCAGCAGACATTTATTGAGCATCTGCAATGAAGTAGGTACGGTGAGAGTTACTGGCAATAAGAGATGAAGAAGATAGAATCATTGTACTCTAGAAGCTTCTAATCCATTGGAGAAGACAAATAGATTGTGCAGTGTGGTCAGTGATATAATAAAGGACATCTCAGAGGAATGGCAGAACTGGGGCATTTCATAAGATAATTATCAAAGACAAGATGCCATTGACTGTGGCTGGTGCCAGTATCCGAGCAGAGATAAGACCTAAGCTAAGATGGACCAGCCAGTACATCACAGAAAACCCAAAGGACCAAGGGCTCAAAGACGAAGCAGTGTAAGACCGCCAAGTGAGAGCACCAGGGCCATCCTGGAGGAGAGAATATTTTGGGGTTGGTGTTTTATAAAAGTGAACTCTTCCAGTGTAGTCATCCTGAAAATTTCCATAAGGGAGGCAGAGATTGAGCAGAAATTTCAAGTGTGGATTTTGCTTCAAGAGACCAGAAAGGGAAATTATGCCTTTTATAGGTGAGATAGTTGGAATGGGCAAGTTGCAAGAATAGAATAAGGACAGGTAGGTTGATCAGAAAGGTAAGTGGGCACAGGACTTAGAAGGACATTGAATATCTGTCTAAGGGGTTTGGTTTTATTCCATGGGTAAAGAGCAGGAGTGGGAGAGACTGCAAGGAGGGATCCCAGTTACCCAGCTCTGTGCAGAGCAATGACACCCGTGTGGGGTGCTAGCGTCCATCGATGGATGGGACAGAAGGAAGAGACAGAAACAGGAGACACTGGAAAGAATAATCAAGAGAGCTGGATGTCTTACCAGATGTGGTGGTTCAGGGGAGGGAGCAGGGAAAAAAAGTGCTAAGATTTCCCCCTGTGTAATTATCTAAAAAGGTGGTGACTTCAACAGAAAATAATCGCATTGTGTGGGGCAGGGAGGTGGATTGGGTGATGAGAAATGGATGAACTTAGTTTTAGTGTTAATTTTAAAGTGATGCCAGAGAAAGAGAATGGGGCTTGAAATTCAGATTCCAGAGGAGAGGAGGTGCTATGAAGGGTCATTTCACCTATGCATGCATGTATGTGTTAGTCTTTTCACTCACTCACTCATTCATTCAATCATTTGCTCTTCTGTCACTCATTCTTTTGCTCTTCATTCATCTACCCATTATTCTATGCTATGCTATGCTATGCTATGCCATGTTATTCTATGCAGTGCCGTGCCATGCCATGTCATGCCATGCCATGCCATGCTATGCTATGCTATGCTATGCTATGCTATTCTTCATTCATTCTATCCTTATTACAATCCCCATTCAGTGCTAGGCATAATGGTATTGATAAAAGGGACAAGACACACCCCTACCCACAAGGAACTCACTGCTGAAAGATCTCATTTTTACTTATAAGCATCTTGATTTTCACCAACTTCTCCCCAAATGACCACCTCGGTTTCCTTTTCTGTAGATATAAGCTGCCAATGCTAGATGTAGAACTGAAATGTTTCAGGTTTGCTATGAAGCAAAGACCCATAGAAGGGAATGTGGAATTATATTTTCTCACCATTCTAAGACATTTGTTTCTTTTAAATTTAAAACAGAGAGAAAGAATATTTGCCAGCTAGTTTTCTGGACAGAGATATTTGAGTGGGACTTCCAAGTAAGTGCAGCCCCAAGGTATTACCGTTCTGGGGTTATCTGCTGAGGACACACTGACTTTGGGGCGGAACCAAAGCATCCCCCGCCAGGCAGGTGCGACCCTGCTTGTCCAATCTGCTGTGGGGGAACTGGCTGGGGGAAACCAAGTCTCACAGTGGATCTGCCTGTGCAAATCCTATCTTGGTCCCTGTGCTTGTTTTGCACATGGATCTATTCGTGCATCTGGGCAATAGTTTATTCCCAAGAATGTGAAGTCATTGTTGGCCAGAGAACTTCAGCCCTTGGAATTTGGTCTTTAACTCCTGTGTGAGTGTCTGGTTGTCTGGATTTCTTGTGTCTTTGGCGTCCCTGGGGCTTGCCTGCAAGGAGGCAGGTGTTGGGAGACACCATGGGGCAGAGCTGAGGACATGGGGAAGGATTCTGAATTCTCTGCTGCGGTGTCATGATTTACAAACATGATCTTCATGTGTTACATGTGTTGGCAGGGGTGCCCGCTAGGGTGCTTTTTCCTGCCTCTTTTAAAGTGTTCTTCCCATTCCCAGAGATTAGTCTCTGCCACCTGGGCAGGGGCAGTGTACTTTCAATTCTGACTAGAATGAACTCTGGAAGAGCTTTTGGAAGACTGCAATCTCTGTGTCAATTACCAGAGGCAAGGTGGTCAGACTCCAGGAAACACATGTCACATTGTGTTCCAGGTGAGTTTGCTGCCGTGGACTGCAACTCCCAGAACCTTGTGCAATTAGTACCCCTGATGCTGTGTGATCTGCAGGTAGTGGAAGGACCCCTGTCCTCATCCCAGCTCCACCTACAGCAGCATGTCCTCCTCCTCAAACAGAACCCTCATTTGTTTATATGCAACAAGGAGCACTTGGCTATGGGCAGGTGTCTCTAACTCTTTGTCTTTGCCAGGGCTTTCATTCTCTTTATACCAACCCCTCCCACCAGAGTACTTAGCACACGAAAGACATGTGCTGGTGCCTGTTGTTGGTTGAACTCAGAAATCTATGGGTTGTCCTTGAGGGCCGGGGTGAGAAAGCAGCTTGGATTGCACTCTGGTTAGCTGGAGCTGTGTAACAAACCACCCCAAGACCGGGTGGCATACAGCAACAAGCATTTCATTATGCTTATGAATTCTGTGGGACCAAAATTCAAACATGGTACAGTAGGGATGGCTTATCTCTGCTCCACAAAGCCTGAGGCCATGGCTGGGAAGACAAGAATGTCTGACAGTGACTCACACAGCTAGGGCCGGAGTCACCCAAGGCTTCTTCGCTCACATGTCTGGTGCTTGGACTGGGATGATGTGAGGTCAGGGTCCTCCAGCAGAGTGCCCTTATGTGGCTTTGAGGTGTGGCTTGGGCTTCCTCCCAGCATGGTGGTGCTAGGGCAGTTGACTTATAATCCGGAGGCTCAGAGTTCCAAGAGTGAGTGTTCTAGTAGGCATGGCCTTCTATCCCCATCCTTGGAGGTTACAGAGGATCACTACCACCACCCTCCATTGGTCAGAGCAGTCACAGACCCTCCAGAGTCAAAGGGAGAGAGGTCTCACCTGTGACGGAAAGCCAAAACATTGGAGGCCATGCTTTTAAACCACCTCCGGCCCAATCTAAATGAAGAATCTTCTTCAGTATCTGAGACAGAGCAGGTATGTGTTGGGTGGGAAAAGATGAGACAGCCCTATAGCCATAGAAAGCAGATGGAGATCTGAAAACAAACAATTAAATTCCAGGGAAACATTTCTGCATTCTGAGAGCTCCTTTGCTCCTTCCACTTCCGCTTCCAGGTAGGAGTCACTGTAAGGACTCCAGGTGAATCCATCAACAATGCCATCCAGGGGCTGTGCTGTTTCTGGGCATAGGTATTTACATCATCCTCTGAGCACAAGGTTCAGACCCCACAGTCAGCCACAGCCTGAGAACTGTGAAGGATTTTAGATAAGAAACCTCTTCTGGTCCCCAAGGGTCAATATTTCCCATGACTTCTCTCTGACACAGAAACAAGAGGCTCAGAAGGGCTCCCCCTGGGCAGGGTTTAAAGGGACTCTGCTACCAGAGGCAGTGGGGTTCAGCCTGGATACCACTTCCTAGTCCCAGAGGATTGAAGGTGGCTGGAGAAGAGCATTTTGGGGACTTGTCTTAAGAGTCCCGAACTCGTGCCTATGGCTCTGGAATAAGCTTATATTTGTATGACCTTTTATTTGAACAGCTGTGAGGGATTTCCTGGTTTCACTTGGGGATTGTGGTGTGTGTGTCTGTGAAATGCACTATACACTGATTTCACCCCATGAATATCTCTTTAATGCTTTACAGATAAAGTTAATCATCTGTGCATCATCAATAACAATGACTGCAAAGAACTAGAGGAGGAAACGTTGAGGCTATTTTGGGTAGCCTTTAAAAAAAAAGTCAAATAATTTTGAATTCCCTAAGATTTACCAGCTCTCCTGGCTGTCTGGTCATTTGCCGATGGAAGAGCGTTTTCCCATCAGGAGGCTGGGCCAGGAATGTCCTCAGTGGGAGTGGCGTGACTTCCATGGAATCCGTGTTCATTACTCAGACTTGCAACCTGAGTCTCCCAGGAGGGGCCACTGACTTTGGTGCTAGAAAATACCCTAGGAAGAATATTCTATACTCTGGCTCAAGCTGCTTTCAGTACAAGGGAAGCCCTTTATCCAATTCTAAAACTTTGAGGAAGAGACCCAGTACCCACAGGGTCCGAAGTTGCATGAAGAAATACCTTCCTGTGTTACCCGTAAGAGAGTACATTTCTATTTTGAGGATAACCCAGGATAGAAAGGGGCAGATAAAACCTAGAGGGTGAGTGAAGAGAAAGGGAATTAGGGGAGAAGGAGGAAGGTGACAGAGCAGCATGGAAAGAATGAAAGGCACATTGGAGAAAATGCATTTTCTCAGGTCAATCACACACAAGAAAATACTGGCTCCTAGTTTATTCTTTTAGGAATAAAATATCAAATTAGGATTCGTTCAGGTGAGAGGCATGTTTGTGCAGCTACGGCAGTAGCAGGTTGCCCTTATAGGAATCCGATTCAGAGCTCAAGAATGATTCACCCTATGCCTAGCTTCCTTCCCAGGATCCCCTCCCTTAAACACAGCCGGAGCTGTGTAATTAGACCTGGAAAGCTTCGGCAAAGCCAGATTCCTCATATAAAGTATCCCCACCCCTCCTTGCAAATGATGGAGCCCTTTGGCAAAAGCCATCAGCATCAGATAAGATCTTCAAACCCCAGTGGCTATGAAGTCTCGTCACACCTCCCAGCCTGGTTTCTAACATCTGGTGGGGCTTATTATTTATTTACGGTATTTTTGGCTGCAGCACGAAGATCAGCCCCTCAGACACCTCTGCAAGTGACACCTCTGCAAGTGACACGGCTCCTGAACCTCCCAGTATGATTTACCACCTACAAAAACCTCTGAAAACACAGTGTGTGCACACACATAAACAGAAAAAAAAAATCAAGTCCAAAAATTGTAAATGAAACAAGAAATGACTGGTTGCTAAATGGCAAGCTTTTAGATATTCTTTGGTTTCCACATAAAAATGTATATTTCTGTCCTTGCTGCTAGGCTGTGGGCTTCCGGAGTGAAATACCTTGGTATTTTAGTGCCTCTGGAGTAGCTCTATGCATGGCTCATGGGAGGCCCTCAGTAATGGATGGGGGATAAATAGCAAGCTGGAGGTGAGTCTTGGGTTCACCTTGGCAAAGTAGCGGGCAGGTTGAGGAAAGCAGCCAGGCTTTCAAGGACAAGCAGGCTTATCCAAGGGCAGAAAAATGTCACATGCTGGGGCCCCATGGTGGACTGCAGGGAGTTAACACCTCCTGGAGTTGTTTGAGAATTAAAATAAATGATAGACCCATCTCAGATCAGGTCTGAGAAGGATGGAGGAGGCACCGAGCCATGGCCTTGCTGAGATGCATGAGTGTCAACGTCTCTTTGCTGTCGTCAATGACAGGATCTAGGCTCAGCAGGGTGAGCACCCTGGGAACTTTGCCCTCCCTGGGACTGGCTCCTACCACCTGACACTGTCAAAGCACAGTGGGTTCCTCCTGGGTTTCCTTGTGTTTGGCTTTTTGGCATCTGCCATTGATAGAAGGAGCACGCATCCCCATCTGTCTGTGCCTGCTGTCTACCCCTCTCCTCTGTTTCTGGCTGAGTTTCCAGCTTATGAGGTAGAGATGGTATGTTTTTTTCTTAAAAAACATCATGTTACATTTTAAAAACTTATGAATTTAGCAACTACCTAGTTTAAAGGTTTATTTCTAAGGTCTTTGAGTAGCGCAGTCTAACACATTGCCAAGAAAAAGAAGGTACTTCATAGACTCAGACTAATTGGCAATCTTTATGCTTCCTGCATTGAAAGTTCTTGTCCTCCAGAGGGGATTGAGCCTGATCTAACTTGTCTGCATCGAGTCCTTCTCTCAGGAGACTACATCTCTGGGAAGGCAGGGGCCGTGCCTGACTCACTTGTGTATTCCCCTGGTTTAACTTAGTGCCGGCTCAAAGAGGACACCAAGCTGGTCAAAGAGGTCATGTTCAGCCCTGAGTTGTAGTCTGGGATTCAGGCCGCCTTTGGAAGACGTTCCAAAGATCTCAGAAGGCCCTTGGGGGTGTTGGCATTGCATAACAGGCATGGGTTTGGATTCTGTGGAGGTTGTTTCCCAAGATGGCTGCTACAATCCTGGCCAGTCCCGATGCCCTTTTGACATGTGACTTTGTCTCTACTCCTATCCACAGGTAGAGTTCATTGCCCTTCCCCTCCAGACTGGGCTGGCTGGAGAAACCATGTCAAGAAAGAGGGACCCTAAGAATGAGCCTCCACAAGCAAAGAGAAGCCTTGGAAGATGAAAGACCATGAGTAGAGAGAGGCTCTGCGGAGGGCAGACATCTGAGAGAGGCCATCTGGGGTCTTCCAGAGGAGAGAACACGTGCAACATGCATGAAACTGGGCTGAGCATCCTCGCCGAGCCCTGCCCAGCCAACCCACAGAACTGCAAGTAAATGGGGCGGGTTTCACTTTAAGCCACCAAGTATTGGGCGAGTTTATTACACTGCAATAGGTCACAGATACAAACCAACCTAAATTCAAACTCCATTTCTACACCTACTAATACTGTGATGGTGAATACATTTTTTTTAGCCTCTCGCCTCATATGCAAAATGAGAATAATAATGCCCACCTAATAGAATTAGAACCTTGCCAGCCACAGCTCCCACTTGTAGAAACTTGCCAGCCACACCTCCCACTTGGAATTGCCCATAGCCCAGTTGCAGGGCTGGTCTTAGGTGGTGGAGAATATATTAAGTAGTTTTATCTCCCTACTCTTCCTTAGCTGAGGGGACCAGAAGTAGCTGCCTGACCCCAATGGCTCATGTGAGCGTGTTTAACTCACTCTTGAGATTATAAATGAAGAAGCCCAGAAATTGAAGTCAGGTAGTTGAGCCTTGGATTTTTCAGATCATGTAGAGCCGAGGCCAGTGTCAGAACCCCAATGAGCCAAAGTCACACGGGAACGGAAGCTAAGAGGGAGTTGGAACTCTGAGTGGACATCAAGGGGGTCCATAGAGCAGGTGTGCAGAGAGAAGCCTAGAGAGGCTGCCTGACTGCAGCCAGAGACTGGGAATGGAGAGAGTGTCCCAACTCAATTTCCTGCCTTTGGTTCTGAGAGATTCCCTTGTGCCCCATTTGCTCAAGCCTGTGTGCGTAGGAGTGGGTTGCTTCCTGCCAAGTCATCCCTAATGAAATGTGAAAATGCAAATGCCAGACACAAAGTGGATGTGCAGTTCTTCAAGGTACAGTAGTGTTTTGTTTTGTTTTTTAAGTAATGGATGAACGGAACATTTATCTACTTTTCTCTCAAAATCTATATTCTTTTTTCTCCATAGGTTTGATAACATTAACCTGATGCCTAGGGTCTCAGAAGAAACCAGTTTTGGGGGTCAGTGGGACTCAGAAACTAACCTCTTTCTAAACTTCACACACAAGCAAAAGGTGTTTTTCCCTTGGAGGCCAGAGCTCCGAGGAGTGGGGATGGGAGTTGTGGCCGCCTCTGCCATGAATGTACCCCTGCACTGCCCACTGGTGTTGGGGAAATCTAAGGTCCATACATAAGAAGCTTTGGTTCCTTGATGTTTTCTGTGAATGGATTACCCAGAATAGGATTTTTCCAGATTTGCAGGCTCAAATGAGACGCCTTACAGGTTGGCTTCAGAGCAAGAGTTCTCTGGAAAAGAAGGAATCATAATCCTTTGATAATATTTTCCTAACAGCCACTAGAGGAAGTTTTCAGAGAGTAATAAATCGTGCGTTCTCATTTATATAAAACCTTTTACTCCTAGCTTGGAACACTATCTCAACTTTTTACTAACTAGCAATTTTACTAACAAATTGACTAAATCATTTAGCTTCTCAGCCTCAGCTTTCTTATCCATAAAATCAAGATAGCAGTAGTTAACACCTCCTGGAGTTGTTTGAGACTTCAAATAAATGATATACCTAAGGCACTTTGAAGACTGCCTGGTGGGTAGCTCGCTGAGCCCAGGCCTCAGTGGGTGTTTGATGAATGCCTGCTTTCATTATTTCTGCACCAGTGCGATTTATCTGCCTCTCTTCTTGACGTTTGCTCCATTCCCCAGACCCAACATTCATCTCTTTCTTGGACTAAAGTTCAGTTTTACCTAGCCTCAAAAGTCAATTCTGCTTTCAAGTCCAGCCATAGATCCTGGGTTCTGTGACCCCAGGCAGTACCCTGCAGGGTCAGCTCCCCTATTGACCCCTCAGGGATACTGAGGCAGCCCCTCCCATCTGGCTCAACTCGGCTTTGAAGTTGAGACCCTGACACCCCTCAGCAGGCACTGTCCTTTGAGTTATCCTTCCAGGGGAGATGGTTGGCTATGCACAGTCATTCATTTCTTGCCAAAATCTTTTAAATTGTTTCTGGCCTGGGTTAAGGGGAAAAAGAAGTGAATGTGCTGGAAAAGAACCTTTTTTCATGCTCTGTATGAGTTCATTAGCTCTGTTCTTAAATCAAGTGAGATATCCAGTAAAGAAGGTCTTAGATAAAACATGAGGTGGTGAATCCTGCCTCCTGGGCCCCCTCCCTGGGACTTTCTCTGTAGCACACATGCCTCTTGGTGCCATACCAGTTTCCTAATATTTTTACACTCTCTGCTTCTTTTCCTCGATCAAAATGTTCTCAAGGAAGGCTTTTAGGGATTCATGTCTACTCAGTGGTAAAGGACCATTACTAACGTTACAGTAGTTAGTATTGCAATAGCGGATAAAGCTTAAAGTCAAAGGAATTAATCTTTAATTGTGAGAGTTTGAACATCGATGCCAAACTGATGTTGGATTGAGGGGAGGGTGGGGTGAGGGTGACAGAGTCTCACCATTAGTGAGATAATTAGTGCCTCATTTCTCATCATGGATGTTGACCACTGACTCTGCTCCTGGAGAAGCCTGCTTCAGAACTAACCAGCAAACACCAAGGGCCTACACTGTGCTCAGCCCACTGAAATGTGGCATGGGGTGAAGTTTGTGAGCTCCAACCTGCTAGCATTTCTTCTTTACGGTAAGCCACAGTTATTCATTTAACCTCATTTCATGCTGAATTTTAAGAGAATTAATTTTAAACAACTACACATACTGTTTTCAGGACACTCCTGTTCGGATAGGGTCATACTTGATCCCCTGTTTCCCCAAAGCTTTGACTTGGTATCTGATATGGTTTGGATTTGTGTCCCTGCCCAAGTCTCATGTTAAAGTGTAATCCCCAGTGTTGGAGGAGGGGCCTGATGGGAGGTGATTGGATCATGGAGGCAGAGTTCCTTCTTGCTGTTCTCATGATAGTGAGTGAGTTCTCAAGAGATCTAGTTGTTTAAATGTGTGTAGCACTTCCCCCTTAGCTCTCTTTCTTCTGCTCCAGCCATGTAAGATGTGCTGCTTCCCTTCTGCCATTACTGAAAGTTTCCCAAGGCCTCCCCAGTCATGCTTCCTGTACAGCCTGCAGAATCGTGAGCCAATTTGACCTCTTTTCTTTATAAATTACCCAGTTTCAGGTATTTCTTTACAGTAGTATGAGAACAGACTAATACAATATCTGATGCACAGGCTCCTGTCATAGCCTTTGTGACCCCACCATGGGTTACCACTAGGGTCAGCCTTGCCCCCAGCCTCTGAGGCTGGTTCTGTCTCCCAAGGGGGGATTTCATGATGTTAACTCAGGACCGCTTTCAGCTTCCTACTCTGAGCACAGAGCGACTGTGCTCTGCTGGGTCTTTGTGACTCAATCTCTGCAGGAATCCTTGTCATGTTCCCTTGAGCATGTTCCTGCCTGGCCTCTGGGAGCCCCTGTCCCTACCAGCTGGCACTTTCTATTGCCAGGTGCTCAGGATGCTGTCCTGTTTGCCGACATCTCCTTTGCATTTCCTCTCACCATGTGTCTGTCTGGTCTCTGAGCCCCAGCCACCTCTGCAGTGATTTATGTGAAAGTTGAGAGCACAACCTGCATCAGCCTGATCCTGCACACCCAGCTGGAAAGAACCTGTGTGTCGGTTGAGTTCCCTCCACCATTCTGTCCTATTGATACCACCCAGCCCCAGTGATGGCTGACAGCATTTGCAAAATAAGAAATTGCTGGCTGGTGAATAGTTTAGGAGACCTATTACAAATGAACAGAATCAAAGTAATTAAGATATAAGTATCTTGTCCATGAGAGATGTAAGAAATTAGTCTTCTGTATCTTTGCATCTAGTTTTTGCATGTCAATCAGTCATACTTTTTTATGTTCATTAAAAAACTTGGTCCATGTGGGAAGATTCAATTAATGTTTTTGAGTCATTCATACTTGGATTTGAATAAAGAAGTTGGAAGAGTCCTTAATATCTGGAAAATATTCAAATGTTTCCCTAAAGTTTTCAAAACTATTTTGCTCATGGATTGGGAGCTCACTCACAAATGGACCTCGGTGTTCACTTCCCATTGGTCTGCCTCCGCTAGTAGAGAAAATCGGGCTTGTGTGGCAGTAATTTGGCAAGTCAAGTCCTTCATTCTCACTTCCATGTTTGAAACATGGCTTCTCAGTTGTGCTGTGACTAAGACCCAGTTTGGGGAGTTTAATGGATTCTGGGCTTCATAGACAGGAATCCAATTCATCATTGAAAAGATGAAGTATACAATTGGGATGGATCAGGGAGAGAACTTTGATTACGTTCTATTTGAAATGTTTTTTTTTGTTTGTTTTTTGCTAAACTTGTTAAATAATAACCCTGCTGTTCCAGAGGAAGTGATACTTTACAAAAAGAAGATTCATCTCAAAAAAGTCAAATATAATTATACTTGAGGATTTGAAATTTCCTGATGGAAACAAATCTGTAGAGTAATTTTGGGAAATATGTGCATTTCTAGCTATAACCAGTGTTCCACTGGGTCTCTTAATGCAGGGGTCAAGACATCTGCAAAGTGTCTTCAGATAAGTCCTGGGATGGGTCTCCAGGGGGCTCTTGAGCAAGTCCACCCTGCACTGTGTGGCCCCAACATTTTCTCCCTCTTTTGCTCGGCAGTGGGGGCTCCCCTCCTGTGAAGCTCTCCAAGATGCCCTGCACTGATTCGGGTGCTCCGCAGCGAAGCCCCTTTTGCCAGGTGCCCCTGCCACTGCCCGGCTCCCCAGCTGCTTGGCTGCCATCTGCCTCCATTCCTGCTGCGGAGGCCTGGAATGCCCGGGATACTAGGGCCACTCTGCCTTCCATGCTGAAGAAGGAAGATGTCTCTGGTCCCTTTTGTCCCCAATATTTTACACATACAGAAGAATGTAAAGAATTATACGGTGGTTCACATAGCCACATCTAGATACATCGCAGCTGTTGGCCGTCAGCTCTCTTTCCTTTCCACATATCTGTGCAGCTACCCATCCATCCAGCTTATTGTTTTTAGACTTTTCAAAGTCAGCTGCAAACATCAGTGCCTTTGTTCCCACACATGTCATTAACTGGAGTCCAATATTTGTTGATGTTCTTTTGTGTTCCGTCAGCTGTACTGCCTTGAATGTTGATGTTTGGAGTTTTAAGAGAAAGAAGCTCATTCAGCTTCAACCATAACCCCTAAACCCCCGTTCCCACCTCCGTCTCTCCTCAGGAATCAGATGGAGGTGGTTCTGGGCCAGAGACAAATCTAAGGGAAAGAATTGCTGTTTCTCCTGCACGGCAGAGGAGCGGCTGCTGGGTAAGCAGCCCTTTCTGGCTGTCTCTCTCCAGGTGAGGTGAATCATCTCTCTGGAGGCTCCCTGAGCTCTCAGGTAAGCAGATTCTGAGCCCCTTCCCCACCGGCTTCAGACTCGAGGGTTCCCAGTGTCGCTGCAGCAGCTGCTCCTGCTGAGGTGTGCAGGGGAAGGGTTTTGAGAGGCTTCTCATCTGCAGAGCTGGTGTTAACAGGCAGACAAGCATTGCTCAGGATAATGCACAGGGGCTGGAATGGGAAGTGTCTGGCACTCAGAGGTGACCTGGAGGCCTTGAGGTGCACAGTTTGTCATCATCGTAATCAGAGCTGAGATGCACCAAGCACCTCCCAGCGCCAGACCCGGGCTGAGAGCTCACTGCGTGTGCCTAGCGTGCTCTTCATACCATCCTCGCTCTATCATTATCCCCTTTGCACAGATAAGACCTGTTGGTGACCATGATCTTGGCAGCTGTGATAAGAATATGTATAAACCCAGCCAGAGGAGCTGGTTAGGACAGATTTTTCTGGCAGAAAGTGGGGTTGGTGGTGTAAATTGTAGGTTTTCAGGTGCGGTGAAGCCAACAGATGAGACGATTGCCATTGTCACTCAGTTCCCGAGAGGAGGGTCACACTATGATGCTCAGGGCCCCATGCGGAAGCACCAGGGTTGGGCAGGTGGCAGAGAAGCTAGAGGAAACACAGGCAAGAGCCTCGGCCGAGGTTTCCGAGGGAAGAAACTGGGGAGATAGGATGAGCAGGCTTAGGACCGGCTAGTGTGAATAATTTCTGTTGGGTCTGGGGCATAGGGGCTGTTTCCAGTTGTCTGGCACCTGGCCCTGGGGTGATTACGGCAGGGGAATAGAGGCCCAGCATGGCAGAGCCTGCTAGAGGAGACAGGGTCTGCATGTGGGCTCTGGACTGTGTGGTTTGCACATGAAGGGCACACTCATGGGGGAGTCATTTGCTGTCTCTAGGACTTGACTAGCCCTGGGGGGAGCAGTCCCTCCAGTGTCAGTGAGGATCTAGGTGTCAAAATTTCAGAAACACGTGGTTAATACTGTGGGATGGGGCAGGAAGCACCTATCAGGTATATTTGAACATCTTCTCGCAGCCATGCAACCTTCAGCACCCTACGGCACCCACGTGGTTCCTCGTGAACTGTTAATCAGCACATTTCTGGCCATTTGGAGAATCTAAATGTGGAGTCCTTGAATGATACTCCAGAGCTTCATGGGGCCCAAGTGAGACTGTAAGGTCCTTCTTATGGCTCCCAGGGAAGTGGCCACTTTCCACTGCCTTTGGACTAGCCACCAGAGTCACTGTTGCTCTGCCCCTTGGCTTGCCTTGAAACGCTCTCTGAGATACTCGCACTTCTGGTGAGAAGGTGAGTGTGGTGTCCAGGTGCTCACTGTGAAGATGGGCAGGCATTATTTGGAAGAAGTGGAAGAAATGGGAACTTGGAAGTGACTGGGGAGGCCAGAAGAGGGGAGAGGGAAGGGGGTCCCAGGGTGGGAAGTCACTGTTGACAGCTTGAGGGTTCTGTGTCCATTCCAGTGCAACAGGGTGTGTGGGAGCGCCTCTCTTGTGACATTGAACAGGGAACGGGAGAGCATGGACTTGTTCTCTAGGCCTCTGCATTTCTTTGTCCTCTGCAGATAGGGCACAAGCTGTGTTGGCAAAAGCTGGTAAAACACTGCTAACAGGCAGAGAAACCATACATTCAACAATAAGTATATCTAGCAAGGCATTAAAAAATGGAGAGTAGGTTTTTGTGACTAAAAAAGTCTACCTAATGTTAAAATAATAGGCGGTGTTAGTCAAACTGGTAAAAAGAAAAATGAAGCAATCAGGCAAGTCTGCTGCTTGAATTCATACAGACCCAACAATTGACCATTGTTTGAACACTCAATGTCTTAGCTGTTCCTTGTTAAACACACTGTTGGCACAGCAAGCATTTGAGAGAAGAAAGCTTCAGTAATCTAGAGCCACCGCCAAACAGTAGAGCAGTAGAGCAGATTCCTAGGATGATTGAGCATGGGGCTGTTGACAGGCAGGCTGTGGGTGTTGGCGGGTAGAGGGAGGCATAGGCTGAGTGTCTTTCCACGCATTTAACACCCCAGCTCCAGTCTTGGCAGCTACTGTTCCATGAGCAGAATGGAGTTCAATGAAACTGCTTTTGCAAAGACTATGACAGTGAGAAAAATCTGACATAGAAAAATTATGACAATGAAAGAAATCCGACCTGACTCCACCTTGCTTCTAACCTCCAAGCTGTCCTTGTTTGTTTCTGGGCATAGGCCAAGCCAACTGTGGGAGGAATTTAGTTTAACTTTAAAGCAAAGATGATAACAGTCTCTTCTTGAAACTAACTACGTCCTGGCTCAGGGACCAAATATGTCTTTGCAAGACTAACAAATTAGCCACAAGATTAGAATTATGGTTCAGGAGCCTTGTAGCCAGAGGTCACAAGCTTTGTAACTTCCCCATTTGCTCCTATAGGTGACATCACCATTGCAAAATCTAAGATTGGTACTTGAGGTATTTTTCAGACTGCATTCCAATGAACAAGCTGGTGCCACCTGGACTGGTACCCCATACCATGAAACTGGCTCATCTGACCTTGCAATCCCACCCAGGAACTGACAGAGTGTAAGAAGACAGCTATGATTTTATCCCTAACCCAACCAATCAGCATTCCCCATTCCCTAGTCCCCTGCCTTGAGAAACCCTAGCCTCTGAATTCTCAGGGAGACTGATTTGAGTCATAAACTCCCATTTGCCACTTGGCTAGTCCTGTGATAATTAAACTCTTTCTCTACTGTAATACTGCTGTCTCAGAAGATTGGTTTTATCTGTGCAGCAGGCAGGATGAACCCATTGGGCAATTATAATAAAGCAAATGCCAAGGGGCAATTGGCCGCCATCAGTACCATCAGTATGGGCTTATCGGAAGCTGACAGTCACGAAGAGTGAGAGGGTAGGGGGATTTCATTTTAATAAGTTTTCGGATACACTTACTGTATTTAGAAAACAAAGAAAAGTTCACAGCAGGAATACTGTAATTACACTATCTGCCATTCTTGGGGGGATGCAAGGAAATCTTTAAAACAGCAATGCCACAGACACACAGCAGTTTTTTACCTTTTAAATATGAATTTATAATAATAAATCTCATATTTATTTTGGTACATATTTCTCCCAATTAAAAACAATATATAAAGCCTGATCCTAATTAGGAGTAAGTCAATGTCACTTTGACAAAACCACAAAAATATTGATTTATTGACTATTTTTAAAGAAATAAGCCTTATTCTGTACACATTTTATCTGTATTTACTGAATTCTTACTTGAATTTAAAACTTTTATAACAGAATGCAGACAAGAAATAACTTTTGTAATCTCAAAAGTGTTTAATGAACAGATTCTCAGAAATATTTATAATTAGCACCTTTTCTCTTCAGCAACATTAAAGCTAGTTGTTCATCCCCTTAAAATAGTTCCTTGATCCCCCACCTTTGTTAATACCATTAATCGGTTTATAACCAGCACAAAGAAAACTCAGCCTAATGCATCAAGATGGATTCTCCATTGGCAGATCTAAGTTAATGATGTGTAACTTAATGTTTTCTTTTTAAAAAATCAAACACTGTTGTGTTTAGTTTTGGTTGTAAATATAAGTTCTTGGCAAAATCTGTCATATGATAAAGTAGTTTTAGAAATCTGTATTAAAAAATTAAAGTAGGTAGAATACAGTGACCTCATCCCTCTGCACCTGTGCTTTGGTCCCCATTCACATAGAAGGAGGGATTGTTCTCTGCCATCTACACCCCTCTTCTCCCATCTATAACAGCCTGGATTACTTTGATATATTTTTTAAAAATTTTTAAAAAGATGGGGTCTCAGTATATTGCCCAGGCTAGTCCTGAACTCCTGGGCTCAAGCGATCCTCCTGCCTCAGCCTCCCAAAATGCTGGGATTACAGGTGTGAGCCACCATGCCCAATCAACCAGGCTTACTTTGGGATATTGTTTTTGGGCTTTTAGCTTAGGGCCACGTTTTGATTGGATTAAGCCCATTAGCATATGTGAAAGATTATATTTTCCAAGGATGACTGTTCTTCTAGAAGTTTCTTCTAGAATCTTGCCCCTCTTCCATCAAGAGATAGAGTCTATGTACCCTACCTTTGAATATGGGTGGGTTTTTGTGACTGTTTCAACCAATAGAGTAGGGCAGAAGAGACATTATGTGATTTCTGAGTTTAGACCACAGAAATGCCAAAAACTTACACCTTATTCTCCTGGGACACTGTATGCAAGCAGTCTCATGGCCCGGAGGCCTCCATATTGTGGGGAAGCCCAAACTGGCACAATTGGAGAGACCACATAGAGAGGCCTCAAGACTGCCTTAAGGAAAAAAAGATGGCCAGGTAGCTCCTAGCACCATCGACTCCTCTTCCCCACCACTGTTCTAGCCCCAACCACCATCTGACTGCAAATCCATGAGGGGCCCCAGGAAAAGTCACCTAGCTGAGCTTACTCAAATTCCTAACCCACAGAAACCATGGGAGATAAGTGATTTGTTATGTTGCAATAGATAACCAGAACAGCATGTCTCATCTCTGTGGCCACAGTGATTGTTGCAGGATAGACACATGACCTAATCCAGTCTAAATCAGTGCAAGTCTTAATATGTTTGCAAGGCATGCTAGACTATAGACATTCTCCTCTCCTCTGGGCTCAGTAAGGTGCTGTAGCCAACTGACTACAGTAAGGGGAGACAGCCTGAGAACCACTCTGGCACACAAAAGAAGAACAGAAAGGGATCATGATGACATCATTGATCCTTGAATCAAATCTTACCCGAAGCTACCATTTGACTTACTCAACACCCATGAAGCATCATTTATAGTCAAAAATGTTCAGAGTCTCAAGTCACTATACAGATACAGAATTCAATCTCTTGTTTGATACCCAAATCTTTCCTATTTTATTCCTATTTATTTCCTATTTTATTCCAGCCAGATGTTTTCAACCTTCAATGACAGACCTCACCACCTGAAGCAGGTGTATTCCAGCCCCAAGCAGCTTTGTTAAGCCAAAATCTGTCTCTCTGCAATAGTTGTCATGAGGTAGAGTGGAAAATATCTAAGAATGCTATGCATAAGAAGAGTATCTAGGTTTCAGCAAGTTTCTTAAAAAATTGCCTGATATTCAAATTGCCAAGATGGAGAAATATGGGCTGAATTTCATTTTAATCTGCTGAATTGACAATTGGTTGAATGCTTTAAAGCTAAAGAGCATTGATTCATTGATCAACCTAAATCAGCATCAGATAGGAGGAGCTGCTAGTCTTTGGTCTCCTGCTCCTGTCCATATGGAAACCAGAGACTTGGATAGGCCTTTGAGATCATGATAAATAAACCCATGAGTGGCACGAGGCTGGGAGGGACAACTATTAACGTTGGATGAGAAATTGAGCTTCCAGAATACTTTGATGCACTTTGCTAAACATTTACTGAATTAGACAAGATAAAATTTAAAAGAGATAAATATAAAATCCTGCTCTTTAGTCTTCTAACACTCAAGTGTATACATATGAGATAAGTCGAAAGTGACTGAGTTCAGAGGTAACACATGAGGAAAGATTTAGGAAATTTACTTGTCAAAAATCCCTGCCAGACAAAAGGATTACGCATCTTTCAAAAAACTTCTTGGGATCTTTGGTTTTATAACAGAAACAAAGTGTTCAAAATAAGGTGGGCAGTGCCTGCTTCCTCATGGGTCGACTCATCCTGGATTGCAGTGCTCACTTTATGGTGCCATGCATTAAGGAGAAATTGACAGGTCAGGGCATACTTAGAAGCAACTGGTGGAGGGTGAGAAAACTTTAAACCCGATCATAAGAGAAATGATAAGAGGATATGGATTCTTGCCTGGAAAGGGCTTGATGCAATATTGGGGCTACTGGAAAGTCTGATAAAGTCACTATTTTATCCTTTTGAGGAAAGCACTCTGTGGAAAGATTCCCAATTGCCTGCCAAGTCAGAACTTTAAAGCGAAAGTTTCTGGAATCTATCTGCCTTAATCTGCAGTTCTTAATCTTTGCAGAATTGGGAAATGCCATTGAGATGCTGCTGGAAGCTTCAGAACCATTCCCCAGAAAAATTACGGAAACTAATAATTTGCAAAACTTTCAGGTTTCTAGATTCCTCTAAGTTCAACAGATCCCTGATGAGAATTCCTGATGAGAATCCCTGCCTGGAAAAATGGGAGACTGAATGGATTAATCTTGCAAATTGTCATAGCATCATAGAGCACACAAACCCTCATTACATTATGACATTATATAACATTCCTTGAAATATCCACTCATTTCCCTCTGCCTATTTTCTTTTCTTCAAGGAAAGCAAGTATTATAAAACTTGTTGTTGTTAACAGTGCAAAGTTTTCTTTTGGAGGTTTAATTTTACCTTCTCACCTTCAGAACAATGCAAAGACCCTTTGAAGTTCCTTTCCATTTTCTTTATGTCTTTCTTTAACACTCTTTTCACTTCCTTCTCTCTTTCTACTCTCTTCTCTCCCATCTCTTCTTCCTCAACAAGGATAGGTAGCAGGGATGAGGCGGCAAAGGGTGAGGGAGTGTGACCAGAGGGAAGTTGGGACCAGCCAGGCGCTCTTCATGTTTCTTCCCTGACTTCTGGCCCTTGCTTCTTCTCTGCATACCACACCCACCCCCAAGAATTCTGCAGATTGATACGTTCAGATAGAAACTTCAGTGCAATAGCCACAGTGACTTCATCAAGAGGAACATTTGAGTATTGAGAGGTGGTGTTTTCTTGTGTTGGTCTTTTTATGACAAGATTCTTAGCTTTGATAAAATAGGCTATGAGTTCAGTGAAGATTATACATTAACTTGAATTGTAACTCAGTTTAATCACAGTTGACCCTTGAACAACATGGGTTTGAACTACACGGGTCCACTTATATGCAGATTTTTTTCCATCTTTCCTGCCACTCTTGAGACAGCAAGACCAACCCCTCCTCTTCCTCAGCCTACTCAACATGAAGAAGACTAAGATGAAGTCCTTGATGATGATCCACTTTTTTCCACTTAATGAATAGTAAATAAAGTTTCTCTTCCTTATGATTTTCTTAATAATATTTTCTTTTCTCTGGCTTACTTTATGGTAAGAATAAAGAATGTAATACATATAACATACAAAATACATGTGAATTGACTGTTTTTGTCATCAGTAAGGCTTCCAGTCAACAATAGACTATTAGTAAAGTTTTTGCAGAGTCAGAAGTTGTACATGGATTTTTGACTGCATGCCTGTAAGCTCTGTGTCGTTCAAGGGTCTACTGCAATTGTGAGTCTTGTTCATAAACAAATGGTTTATGAATTTTTGGTAGATAGAAGCCTCATGCTATATTACCTTTGTGCCTTTCATAGAAAATTGTAACATTGGCCTATTTTACTGTCTCTGTTTTATGCAAACTACTGGTGTGTGCTACTCACATAAAAAATGATAATACCAGATGATTAGCACCTGGATCACTAAATTTTAGTTAATGATATTAGGAATTGGTGGATCACCAGCTAGGTGTGTAACCTTGGGCAGTCCCTAAGCCTCTCCAAGTCTCAGTTTTACATCTGTAAAATGGGAAGCATAACGTATGTTGAAGTTTACTGAGGGTTAAATGAAATGATTCATGTAAAGCACTTAGTCCATATCCAGCACATACTAAAAAAAAAAAGTTAGTTATTGTTACCTTAATGAATGTTACCTTTGCATACATCTTTGTGAGTCTCAAAAAGTTTTAGCAGGAAGCAAAATTTGCATTAGGTCATATTGTATTTGCAGATGCCCATCCCCTTCTTCTCATTGATGCTCCCCTGGAACTTTCTGTTACAATGGAAAGGGAATACAAGTTCCTTGCAAGAAGTAAAACCTCATGGAGATCCTCCAAAATTCCGATTCCCGTGAATATCTTACAGAAAGAAAATAGAAATGGCTGACCGAGTTGAGGCAGTTTATTTATTGCCAACTTCTGGATTTTCTTCACATTCTGTTCACTAGGATGAGCATGTTCCAGTTTGTATGGTTGTTTTAAATACTGATCAGACTTCATTTCATTTATTAATGTCAGGTGCAACTAAGCTGCCTTCAGCAAATAAAGTGCTCATTCCTTCCAGACCCTCCTCTTAAGCTTAATATATTCCATATTCCCGGTTTATTTTCTCGCTGACATGAGTGTGCCCAGTTTTGCTGCCAGGCAAGAACTGAAGGTAAGAGAAGGCTGCAGACAGTGGCTGGTATGAGACGGCCATGCTTCGCTTGGTTGAGGGTTTATCTGATTATAATGCATGGTGTGTGCAGACATTTCAAGGGTTGCAACAGAAAATCCATCACTGTTGTTAGTATGAAGGGGAATCTGTAAAAACATCATTTGCCTAAAAAGAGAGAGAGCAAGCTCTGGCAAGGGTTGGGGTGGGGAATGTGCTTTTTCTTTCTGTGTTTGTAACCTGTAGAAACACCAGGGCCTCTTGGATGGGCTCAAAGAGAGCCCTGTCTGGCCTGTGGCACTTTGGAAGAAAACCCACACAGAGAAACGTACAGAGGAAACTATTTGGGAGCGGGAACTGGGTGTGTTTCAGACGTTAAGTCTGCAGAGAAAAATCTGCAGAGTTTTTTCTTTTTTCTTTTTTTTTTAAAGAAAAACAATCCCCTGAAAATGAACTTTTAGAGAGTTCCTTTATGCAGGAAACATGTCCATAAGGGAAAAAAAGAAACAATCAAGAGCAATGAAGATAGTAATACCCACCTCCCCATACTAGGAACAAAAATGAAGACAGCAGTTGAAAAACTGAGAAATTCACTACAGCTCAAATGGAGGCTACTGTATGCTGGGCAGAAGCCGAAAGATAATTGTCCTCCATGCTGATAAACAATTTTCTTTCTTCCCTGTATGTGTAAGGAACCATTCTGCGTGTTCTCATTTGGTTGTTCCTGAGTACATGACGTCAATGGGTAATGACAGTGACCACTGTTCTGCACATGTTCTGCTTCAGGTCTCTCTCTTCTCTCCTTTCATTTTGTCTTTTACTGCATGGACACTCACATCTTCTAAGTGAACAAAGAATAAAATCGATCCAGCAAAACAGGAGGGCGAGCTCAGGTAACATTCCAGGCCCTCAAATCCTGGAGTGGCCCCCCCCAGGGCTATCATGCCTTCTCTGTTCCTTACATTGCTTGCCTCACACAGAGAGGCTAAGGGCCTGGAAGCTGGTTCTGCCTGGCTGGGTTTGGATCCTTGTATTAGTCCGTTCTCAGGCTGCTAATAAAGACGTACCAGAGTCTGGGTAATTTATAAAGGAAAGAGGTTTAATTGACTCACATGTCAGCATAGCTGGTGAGGCCTCAGGAAACTTACAACCATGGCAGAAAAGGAAGCAAATACATCCTTCTTCACAAGATGGCAGGAAGGAGAAGAATGGGTGCCTGGTGAAAGGGGAAGCCCCTTATGAAACCATCAGCTCTTGTGAGAACTTTCTATCATGAGAATAGCATGGAGGAAACTGTCCCCATGATTTAATTACCTCCCACAAGGTCCCTTCTATGACATGTGGGGATTATGGGAACTATAATTCAAAATGAGATTGGAGGGGGCACAGCCAAACCATATCAATCCCGGTGTTTCTCTTAGTAGATGCAGGGCCTTGGGTGAGCTTCTATGTCCCTGTGCGGATGGTTTTTTATTTATCAAATAAAGATTCAAGCAGTACTTCCTTCATAGAGACTTTGTCAAATTGGTTAATAAAATTTGTATTTTCAACTTATGTTCATTATTGCCACTACTCTCCCTGCAAATAGCCTGTTTTGGTGCTCCCCTCATGAAATGTCAGCCTCCCATATGTGCTGTGTTGTTCCATGCACATACTGTTTTTCCATTTCTATAAGACTTCCCCAGCCACCCGCTCAAGAATCAATCATCCTCTAATACCACCTTGTCAATATATGGCTTCAGGGCTCATTGCATAATGAGGAGAATGGGCTCTTAATTGTTTTTTTACCGAAAACTGACCCACGCCAAGCAGAACTCACTGACTAGAGCTAGTCACATGGCCCCAGTCAGTATAAGGAAACTAGGGAACAAGAAGAGCACATGGGTCTTTGTTGGACAGCCAGTGCCCTGCTCCAGGTGCCAAATAGATCAAGATGGAGTTGTACCTCCTGTGGTTGGGCAGCCTGGAGACCCTGTGGGTCCTGCCCCATGTGGACGTTCACTGAGATGCACGGTGCTGCACAGGACAGACTAGGACTGCTGCTGCAGCCTTCTGTACTCACTGTGCACCGTGGAGATCAGGCCCACTCCTATGAGTCTTGCATCCCCACATACCTCTGGACTCCATATTTGGGAAGTTACCATCAGGGTCAGATCTTTAAGTGCGTCATTTTGACCAGCTCCATTTCCTTCACCTCCTGGTTTACTCTCTCACTATTAATCCAAGCAACTGAGTTCCCCATGGTCTTGGGGCCAATCCTCCAGAATTAGAATAGTGATGATGATGTCCATGTCAAAATACTGTGCTGGAAATGAAACACCCAACACATTTGTTTAGATACAGGAATGAAAATAACCCATTATCATGACATATGCCACAGCATTTTAAAAGCAGAACAGGCCAGTCAGCTTGGTCAAAACCAATTGAACAGGGTGTGTGGGCATGTGGTGTGTACATGCGTGTTAAGTCACAAATTTAAAATATGCTCAACCTCACCTCAGGCTGTGGTTACAAGTCATTCGTTCATTTACTCAGTAAGTACTCCATAGCCTACATACGTTTGTGTGCACCTTCTGCAAGGTTACAAAGGTTACATTTTCCACGCTTAATGTACTTAAGGTTTCAGAGGCAAGATAAAATACAAAATTGAGCAAGTGACAGCTGTTATCACCTCCAGGGGAGGAGTTGCACTCCACCTAGGGCAGTAGTCTCAGGATGTCAACACACTCCATGGTTTGGGATCACCGAGGAAGGCACAGCTCACACAGGCATTGGATAGAACAACTCTTCACTCACAGAGAGAAGAGACAGACTGATCAGCATCAATCATAGGTGTCGGTACCCCATGGCCAGGGAGATGGTCTTCCCCCTCTCATGTGCAGGGGAAGGACCCCAACTCCTCCTCTGTGGAGTTAAGATACAGAGAGCTGGGGGCCTCTCTGGGGCCATTGATACACCTGCTTATGCAGAGCAAAGGAGGACACACTGAGTCCAAAACAGAGAGATATTCCCAAACAAAGAGATCTGCCCAGCATGAGCTGGGAGGGCCCTTATCTCCTTGGAAGGAAACGTTCCTGGCTGAGACCACTCTTGCGTGGCTTTGCAGGGGTCAGAAGGCTGCACATGACACTACCATTCTTAACAAAAATTAAATATGGAGAGAGGCCACAGATGACTCAGAAGTGAGCCAGAGCCCTCAAAGCTTTCCAGAATCCCTCCTGACTTTGGCTTCAGGAAGGTGGTCTCTGAGCAGGCCATCGAAGGGTGGCAGGAAGCCGCTGAGAAGAAAAGAAGCTCACAGGAAAGAACCTGGAAATGCAGGCACTGACTTTGGCTGAGGCCAGAGTGTGCAAGGGCAGTGGGGAAAACCATGCCTGGAAGGGCCAGTGGGAAATGGAACAGCTGTGGCCTTGGGTCCTCACTAAGAGTTAAGGGGCAAGGGATGGAGAAGATGAGGCTGTTTGGACATTGTCATGGGTTGAATTGTGTCCCCCTCAAACGGTATGTTGAAATCCTAACCCCCAATGATATCCAGAGATAGAGTCTTTGTGAGATGTAATCAAGCTAAGATGAGGCCATTAGGGTGAGCTCTAGTCCAATAGGACTGGTGTCCACATTAGAAGAGAAGACACAGACAGACATGCACGGAGGGAAGACGCCATGAAAGCTCACAGGGGAGGATGCCAGGTGGTAGAGGTTAGTGTGATGTGTCTATAGGCCAGGGATTGCCAGCAACCACCGGAAGCTAAGAGAAAGGCAGGAGTGGATTCTCCCCTGGAGCCTTCAGAGAGAGCGTGGGTCTGCTCACACCTTGGTTGCAGACTTCTGCCTTCCAGAGCTGGGAGACAAGAAATTCCTGTTGTTTGAAGCCACCCAGTTTGCAGTCATTTGTAATGGCAGCCCCAGGAAACGAACACAGACACGATGACCGAGTTCATTCCTTTGCAATAAGGCCATTCTGAGGCTCTGTGTGAGTTGAGTGACCAGGGAGACACTTCTGCAGCTGCTGGCCCAGATGTTGCTCAGAGTCTTTGGAGAGATTGCTCATTGGTACCTTTCATGGCACCAGCAAACTTGCTCATGGGGTCATTACGGTCATGACATTGACTGCTCTTTTTTCTAAATATTTGTGAGACATCCTACATGTGTGCAATACAATGAAACCTGTTGATCATACCTCCTCCAATAATATGTGAGGTTCTAAAGACCTAACCCGGTCCTCGGTACATAGCTTTTCCCATTTGCGATGTTTCCCTGTTCACATTGTCTTTGTCAGTCTCTAGGAAGATATCATTAAAAACTCTCATTGAATCAGTCTTAAAGAAATATTTTTAAAAGATCTATATTCTATTCAACTGAAAATAGCAAGACTCAGTAAAAAGACAAAACTTAGCCTAAAAGCTTTTATAAGTCATTGCAAATTGTTGCTTCGCTAGCAAGGGGCTCAGCAGGAGGATCTAAGCTGTGAACCTACCCTGAATTCAGACTTGACTGAGCAGCTTGCAAGAGGGGCAGAACAAGGAGCAGAAACCAGTATGGACTACTTTCAGTTTAAAAGGAGAATTTATTAGAAATATACTAACAGTGCTGGGTGGCCCCAAAAGCAGACCATGAACATACTTATAGCACCAGCAAAGCAGGTACAGGAAAAAAAAATTAAGAATCTGATAAGCAATTTTTAAAAAGTAAAGTAGTTATCACATGCAAATCATAGCTTTGAAAAACTTCCTTATGCTTAATGTATGATCCAGCATCATTTTTAGCAACTAATGCAGGACTCAGGAGGACTCATCTTCTCTGGTTTTGGGGCCTTTCAAGGTAAAAATGTGGCCCTGGATCCCAGGATGTCGTATGGATTCAAGGTTGGCAATGCAGTGGCCCGGGGAGGGCTGCTGGAGCCCTGTACCCTAGGCCTTCACCATCGTGTCTGTGCTCCAGTCTTGGGAGGCAGGTTCCTCAGCCTCTAGGACAGTAGTGAGGGAAGAGGTAATCCCAACTCTTGCATCTCGGTTCTACCATGTGGTGCCTCTCTCTCTCACACACACACACGCAAACACACACTTCCAGTCCCAATTCTAAATTTGCAGACAAAAGACTCTTCCTCTGCTGGGTCAGGCCCACTGCTGGCTTAATGAACCTCAATCAGGGAGAGGTTTGGATGTGCAAAGAGAAAGGAGGAGCGAGACACAGAAGATTAGGGTGCAGATTCGGGAGTTGGACTTCATGGGCATGATTATGTGATACAAGCCAAGTTATTAAACCTCTCTAGTCTTAGTTTCCTTATCTGCTAAATGGGGCAAAGAACAGCGCCTGCCTCATAGGATCTCTGTGAGGATTAAATGAGCCACTTAATTCTGTGTTGGCACTTAGTGCTCAGTACATGTCAGCTAAAATTATCACGAAAACTCTTAGGAGACTCCTGTCACCACCCGGATCAAGGAGGGAGGAGCAGTCACTGGAATGAGCATGCCCACAGCTCAGGAGCTGGGCAGGGGGCCAAAGGCATCCACTGCAGAGGGCCGAGGACGGGGCTGTGGCACCAACCGCAGGAGGAGAGTGGAACATTTGACCTCTAAGCCTTGGACCAAGTGAGGGGCACACAGGGAGCAGGACCCTGCGAGGAAAGCCTCCACAGTCTGAGCCAGACAGGAGGAACTGCCTCCTGCTTCCCAGCAATGGCATCTTCCAAGGACAATAGAACATCTACAGAGGTTACGAGAAGGTTATGGTAAAAATGCTCACTTTGGGACCCATGGCATGAGTCATTCAGAGATAAGACTGCGTGTGGGGGTCAGTCAAGTGGGAAACAGTCTGGAAGGCATTTACATCAAAACCAGACTTGACTCTGGAGAACCGAGAAATCCTCCACCACTGCCCAGCCGCGGCCCCCAGCCCCCACTGTCAGCCCCGCAGCTCCCACTGTCATGTCGGCTCCTCTTTTTGAGAAAATGAGTCATGAGCGAGAAGCCACTCTGGTGACGGGACAGCTGTGTCACGGTGACCCTGTGGGACAGAACTCCTTCCTTTGCCAGACCACTTCAAATCTTTCAGACCCTAAAGGGAAGCCGGGCATTCTTAGGAACGGAGTAAATCCAGACTGCTGAGCCTGGTCCTGGGTGGACAGAGGAGGAGGCTGACTTGAAGTTCAGCCTTGTTCTAAGCACAAAGGCGTTCATTGTCAAGTCTACCCATTGTGAAAATGAAGCTTGGAGAGGTTAATTAGCTTGCCCAAAGTCTTACATGAAGTGACAGAGCTGGGAGTGGCTGGCAGAGGATGCGAATGCCTTACCCCCGTCTCCCTGGCCCACAGCTGAGCAGGCGCTGACATCCCCCTCACCCGCTCCCATGCACGCTGACAGCTGCCCCTTTCCACCTCCTGCCTGCCTTTCTGCTTCTGTGCCTGGGATTTCCTCCAGTCTCACTAGGAACTTGCTTGGCCCATGCTAGGGCACTTCAGTCAGACTGAGACGACCCAGGAGCTACCATCTGCGGATGTCACAGGCCACAGCAGGAACACAGGGGTTAAGTCACCTGCACTTGTAATGTAAAATGACAGCATTCTTTAACATGGGTCCAGGGCTTAGGCTTAGGATGAGGCCACCGTGCTTGCTGCACAGGCCCCCTCTCATCAGCTTGCTGTAATGCAATGCCCCAAGGCCACAGAGGGTCTCCAGCAGGACCATGGTCCTGTTGCCCACAGTGACAACCTGTTGAAGAACGCAGGCCCTACTGACTTTTCTTGCTAACTTTTCTGACTGTTTCAGTCATCGCAGGAGTTCAGTATTCTCATTCCAAGTGCACTGTTTCTTCCTCTTCCACCACCGATGGAGAATGGGATGAGAGAACAGCGTCTACCGTTTAAAGCCCCCATTTCCTGTGGCTTTTCATTTCATTATAAGTTGAGCAGGAGATAAAATGAGGAAAGAAGCGATAATCATCTTTTTCATTGCAGGGATCTATAGAAGTTCCCCAGGCAGCAAAACTCAGAGGTCTCTTGTCAATATCCGGGTCTGAATTCCTAGAAGTTGGCCCACAGGCTTTGATCTGCACTCTACCTGGATGCACAAGGCTTGCTTTCCATGAGGCTCCGAGGTCAGGACACACTTATTGAGCATCCATAGGGGGTGAGGGAATAGAAATGACCAAGGCTCAGTTCCTATCCTCAGGGAACATAAAGACTCTCACTGAGACTAAGAGGGAAAATACAACTCAACCCCCCTGAAATCTGCCAGCCCCTACTACAATAAACAACACAAGTGGGCTCCCAGGTGCCATTTCCAGAATTGTATTTTCCTCTCAAAGTTCCTTCAGAATTTCCAGTCCTTCTCCAGCCCTCCATGAGTTTCTTAAAATGATGGCTTGTGGCTTCTATCACTCCTCCCACCCCCAGCTTCCGAAACCTCAAGGCCAGCACATCAGGGCATGTCTGCTTTGGTTTAAATAGAGCATTACAAATCTTTCCCCTACTCTTCCTTGGATTCTTGCCTTCTTTTCCCATGTACTGCTTGTTCTAGCATTCAGAAAACAGCTTGTCCCTTTATCAAACATCATAGTTTGTCGTTTCCCAAGTCTTCATCATTGAGAAACCAGATGCCTTCATTTGTTGAAAAAGTGTCTTCAAAAGAGCTATCACACACACTCATTGTGCTGGGCCCCTGGAGGGTTTAGTTCACTTCGAGATACAGGAATGGACTCCTAGCATCCGTTTTACCTGATTTGAAGCCAAACCAGGCTCTCTCTCCACACATATCCCACCCAATCCAGTCTAAGACTAACATAGATTTACAGCCCAGGCCTAGCTGAAGCTGACCTGTAAAATAGATGCTTTCCACACAGGAACAGCCCTCGCTCAGCCCAGGCCTAGCTGAAGCTGACCTATGAAATAGATGCTTTCCACACAGGCACAGCCCTCGCTCAGCCTAGGCCTAGCTGAAGTTGACCTGTGAGATAGATGGTGGTATGGTTTGGCTTTATGTCCCCACCTGAATCTCATCTCAAATTGTAATCCCCAGGTGTTGAGGGAGGGAACTGGAGGGAGGTGACTGAATCATGGAGGCGGTTTCCTCCGTGCTATTCTCATGATAGTGAGTGAGTTCTCACAAGATCTGATGGTTTTATAAGCGTTTGGTAGTTCCTTTCTTTCCCTCTCTGTCTTTCCTGCTGCCTTGTGAAGAAAGTACTTGCTTCTCTTTTGCCTTCCACCACGATTGTAAGTTTCCTGAGCCGTCCCCAGGATGCAGAACTGTGAGTCAATTAAGCCTCCTTTGTTTATAAATTATCCATTCTCAGGTAGTAGCTTTATAGCAGTGTGAGAACAGATTAATACAGATGGTTTCCATGCAAGCACGGCCCCCACTCAGCTGGGCCTAGCTGAAGTTGACCTCTGAGATAGATGCTTTCCACGTCCTCACTGCACTCTCTCCCTGCAGCTCCCGATGCCCTCCCCAGCAGGTTAGTGTGGCCGTACGACCTTGGGCTTTGGAGCTATCCAGACAGCAGTATGAACCCTGCCTTTGCCACTTGAAAACTGAGTGATCTTGAGCGAGCTATTTATTTCAGGGTCCATTTTTTTCATCTGCAATGCAAAGACAGTACTAGAATCTACTGCAAAGAGCTGCTGTGAGGATTATGTGACAAAAAAGTGAGCAGAATGCTAAGGATAGTGTCTGCCACCCACAAGTGCTCACTAAGTGCTGGAGACTTTCATTACCCTTGGGGTTTGGGGGCTCTTCTGGGCCCTGTCATGCTTGTCATCCCTTGGTTCAGCACCTCTGTGTAAGTCCTGGGTTCCATCAACAGGCTCATTCCTTCAGTGTTGTCTCAACTTACTGGCTGAGAGGAAGAAGCTAATAAAAATCCAAGGTGTGAAGAACGGGAAACTATTCAACAATCACTCACCCAGGGACATTTTATGCTGCAAAGTAGGTTCTTCATTAAAGTATTAATTTACCTCAGTGTAAATTCAAGCAATGAGGCCTAGACAGGGTGGGGACTCACAGCTCTCTGCTAGTACCAATTGTTGACTGAAGGAAACTTGTGATGGAGCCTGCTCTGTTTGATAATGTGTTCTTTGTCGGGTTGTGGTAAGGATTAAGCTGGCTAACAAGGTTTGACAACTGGGAGGGGCTTGTGAATATTTATTTCTCTCTGTTAACCCCTGAATTTAAACAGTAGGTGTGCTGCTGTGGTTTGAGGGCAGGGTGCAGATGTGTGCAATCTACTGAAATGCACCAAAAAATAGGACAGACTGACAGATAAAGGGATCGATACATTGATATATTCTGATAAAATAAGTATAATAAACTTTTAATAGTTGATATACAGTGTTCACAATAAAATTCTTTCAACTTTACCATATGTTTGAAAATCTTCTTCCTAAACAAAGCAAACAACCAGTAGAAAAATAGTAATAAGCCATAAAAGTGTATTTCATAGGAAAGGAAATATGAATGATAAATAAACATATAAAATATGGCCACCTCATTTATAATCAAGGAAAAGTAAACAAAGAACTTATGAGATACATTTTGATGAACTGTATTATCAAAAATCAATACATCTGAAAATACCAAGTCTTGGAGAAGATTTAAATACTCTATAGTTGAGAGTATAATTGGTACAGTCACTTTGGGAAACAATTTGGCATTATCTTGTAAATTTGAGGACATGATAAATATCCTCTTCAACCCATCAGTTCTACTTCTAGGGTATGTATATGTGAATCGTAGAGACACTTTTGCCCATGTGCACTGGAAAACAGGTACAAGTATGTCCTGAAAGTTTTATTTGTAAAAGCAAAAACCTGGAAACAACCCTAATGTTCATTATTGGGACTGGGTAAATAAACGTGTTGTATTCACACACAATGGCATATTAAATAGCTAGCAATATGAATGAACTCTAGCAACAAGCAACACACTAGATGAATCTTGGAAAAAATTCTGAGTATAAAAAGTCTGTCAGAGAAAGTTGCATTCACTATGGTACTATTTTTTATAAAGCCCCCAAACAGGCAAAACTAAGCAGTGTATTGCTTAAAGTTACATAACTTCACCGCGGTTAATAGCAGCAACAATAAATGCAAATTTGAGGATTTTGCTTCTCATATGCCAGTCATTCAGGAGGAAACATATAGGTGATTTCAAAGGTATTGGCAACAGTCTGGTTAGTGATTCTTATGCTGAGTGATGAGTTCACAGATGTTCCTCTTATAGTTATGTTTTACAACCCACATGGATATCGAATAGATTATTTTGTATTAATGAAGTATTACATTAAGTATTAGGCAGAAGCCGAATCATCCAGCGACTGCTGGTCATGTTAAAAGTTTCAGACTTTATTTGCCCATTTAACAAGGAGGAAGAATAAGGCAGAGGAATGTAATACTTATTTCCTATGGGACTTGTCAGCATCTGGACAGTTACAAGTCAGATTATAAGTCAGATCATCATGACTCTGTGAAAGTCTTCTGCCTCTTCTAGCCTCCTTCCCCTTTGGTCAGTATCCCTTTTCCCTGCCCAGCTCCCTACCTATCAAAGGCCTAATGCTCCAGCTGACTATTTGGATGAGACATTCTCCTGTTGGATCTCTGGTTAAGAGAGCCTCACATCACACCCTCACATTGCTTCTCCCCATTCTGAAGGCTAATGCCCATCACAAAGCTCACAGCTTAGAGTGGTCCTTGGAGCCCTTTTATACAAGTATGGGCTTCTCAGGGCTTCTCTGAACCCAAAGCCCTGGGCAAGCAGACATGTTGGACCTGCCTGTCCACTGGCCTCTGCCCCTGGTGAGCTTTGCAGACTCACTGACTTTCTCTCTACTTCCATTTTTCTTTCCTTAAATGAGTCATAATCATGCTAGCAGATTCTGTGGAGCCATTGGGATTCACACTTCATAAAAACTGCTGGGAATGTGAACCAGAAATGTCCATGGAAGCACATGAGGATAGACAAGATTTCATGGTCAGCTCTCCCTGCCCCACCTCCATCCCAGGTTTAGGTCAGTTTGGCACTTGCCACTGAGTGAGCTGGGGCTGTGATTCGTCAGTCACTTTCAAAACTAGAATTGGGATATTTCCTAGCTGTTGGCCAGGGTGGAAATTAATCCTGGTGTGTACCCTTTTCAAACAAAGTGAGCAGGGCCCAGAGCTCCTTCAAAAGCTGTGGTTGTGCATGTGCGCAGGCCAGCTTTCAACTGTGAATAACTCAGCAGTTGGCAAACGCTGAAACCGATGACTGAGTTCATGTGCTCCACTAATTATAAACATGATTTAATTAAAAGCACTCTCTCTGTTTAAAGACCCATCAAAAACCTCAAACCAGGAATGTTAAGTTAAGTTCAATACCCTGAGGGACATTTTGGTGTCAATGATACAGTTGGAGCAAGTGGGCCAGACAAGAAGCCCATGACCAAGTTCAGGCAGAGGCAGAAAAGGGAACAGAGTGGCCATAGATGTGGTGGGATCTACCTTAATTTTTCCCTATAAAGTAAACTTGTTTTCTCCCACCATTGCCTAAATAATATATCCTGTCCCTACTATGAGGGATGCCACCTGGACTTTTCTTAGTAGCAAAACTTATATTGATTGTAGCATGTAAGTACATTTTAATAAATTTGATATGATACATGTTGGGGTCCCCAAAGTAAGAGCTTCTAGTGACACACATACACACACAAGAGACTTAAAGTAGTCCCATTAGATGCTCCTGGAGACACTGCCTTGAGGAGTTAGCAAAATGGTAACTTTCCCAGCATATCTTGAAGGGGTTATCCTTCTCTGTTGAGTCACACAGACTCCTGGGCTTTCAGGATTTAGATACATGGCTGTCTGTACAGTATTATAAAGTCTCTTCTTGAATCAAACTCTGTAAAACCCCTTTATCTTGGAAGAGCTCTTGACAAATATTAGGATTTGTAATTTTGCCATTTTGTTAATCGCTATCTGGCTGTTTTATAGTTCCTTTGCTCCTTTCTTCCTCTATTGCTGTCTTCTTTTGTGTTTTAATGACTTTCTGTAGTGGTATGCTTTGATTCATTTCTCTTTATAGTTTGTGTATCTACTATAGGTTTTTGTTTATAGGTGGTTACTATGCAGCTTACATAAAACATATTGTAGTTGTAACAGTCTATTTTAAGCTGATAACAACTTAACTTTGATCACATACAAAAACTTAACTGTTTTACTCCCCCATTTGACGTTTTTGATGTCACAATTGACATCTTTTTATATTGTGCATCTTACAAGTTATTATAGCTATAGTTATTTTTAATGCTTTTTCCTTTTAACCTTTAAACTAGAGTTACAAGTCTTATGTACTATCATTACAGTTATAGAGTATTCTGAATTTTACTATATACTTATCCTTAACCGTAAGTTTTACACTTTCAAATGCTTTCATGTTATAATTAGCATCTTTTCATTTCAGCTTGAACAACTCCCTTTAGAATTTTTTGTAATGCAGGTCTAGCAGCGATGAGCTCCTTCAGTTTTGTCTGGGAAAGTCTTTATGTGCCCCCCTACTTTGCTGGGTAAAGTATTCTTGGTTGGCAGTTTTTTTTCTTTCACATCTTGAATATGTCATCCCACCCTCTGCTGGTATGCAAGGTTTCTGCTGAGAAATCTGCTGGTAGCTTTATGAAGTTTCTCTTTGGCTTTCTTCATTTCTTTTTGTTCTGTTTTCTTTTTTTCTCCTCTAACTGGATAATTTCAAATGACTTATCTCTGAGTTCACAGATTCTTTCTTCTGCTTAAGCTGATGCTCTCTATTTTATTTTTCATGTCATTCATTGAATTCTTCAGCTCCTGATTTGGTTCTTTATGACTTCTATCTCTTTGTTGAACCTCTTGTTTTCTTTACATACTGTTTTCCTGATATCATTTATTTGTCTATCTGTGTTCTCTTATAGCTTGCTGATCCTCCTTAAAACAATTGTTTTGAGTTATTTGTCAGACAATTTGTATATATCTACTTTCTTTGGCATTGGTTACTGGAAAATTATTGTGTTCCTTTGGTGATGTTATGTTCCCTTGATTTTATGTGTTTCTTGAAGTTTTGTGTTGCTGTCTTCACATTTGAAAAAGCAGTTACTTCCTCCAGTATTTACTGAATAGCTTTGGGAGAGACATTTTTACCAGTCAGCTAGGGATTCTGAAGCTCTTTCAGACCTTTTCTATGAAGGTATCTGCTCCACACTTCTTATTCCCTCTTACGGGGAAATTTGAAAAGTTATATGCCTTTTTTCAATACTGCAAAGCCAGACTGGGTGCCAAGAGCCTCCCATTTGTTTTCCCTAGGGTAGGACATTGGCCTTTGGATATTTGGAGGAGAAACAGTCAAAGCCTATGACGTGGCATGAACTCTTTCCCATGAAATCCTTCTTCCCTACAGAGTGTTTTCTCACACTATTGATTTTGAACCAGGTGGCTTGTTGTAATGAATAAAAGTTTCCAAACAGAAGTTACCCTGTTGGTAGCCAAAGAGAAGCTGCTGGTCACATTCTCATCCAGTCATATCTCTGACTTAGATCTCAGGGAAAGGAAACATCTTTGCATTGAGGAAGCATTCATGGAAATGGAGCAATTTACTGAGATGAAAGGGCAAGTTGAAATGTGGGTATTATGTGGAGGTTTATGATGATAATAATAAGGATTTATTGAGCACTTACTACACACTAGAGACTTGCTAAGCACATCACATGTTTAATTTCATGTCCTGATAAAAACTCTGTAAGATAAGAGCTTTTATGTCCTCCATTTGGTGGGTGAGAAAACTGGGGCTCAGCAACATTTGGTATCCCCTTCTCATCTAAAAGAAATGAGCTCAGAAGCACATGCATCTGAGGGATTATTTCTAATATTCAAGCTCTCCAGTCCGATGGAGCAGCTAAGGCACCAGACTGCAGCATCACTGAGGGTTTGTCATCAGATATACGGCAATGGGTTTCCACTTAGAAAGATGACCTGACTAATTTTAAAGTGTTTGCCCAGGAGCAGGGTCTGTGTTCCATCCATTTCGCCACTGGGGGTGGCTGTTGTAGAAATGATTGCTTGGGATCAGAACAGGAATTTGGGACCTTTAAGCAGAATGGAAGCAAATATTAGAGATAAATGACATTTGCTTTGAGCTTTCTTTCCCATTGATTTTTTATGTTTCCTCGGTCTCACACTATGTAGTAGGTGCTCAATGAGTGCAGGTAGAATGAATAAATAAATAGATTCATTTGATCATCAGATATTATTCCCATGCCCTTGTTGAGGAAATAGAATCTTTGACAGATTAAATAACCAGCCCAACATCAAAAGCTATGAAGTGGTATAGTAGAAACCTGAAATCAGATGTCTTTATTTCAAACTATGGTCCGTTGTGATTGTTTGCTTTTATTAATAAATAATGATGCTACTTCAAATCTATGAAACATGCCCACGATATGAATTAATCACAATGAAATCAAAACAGCGGCAATTCTACACAATGCAAGAGATTTACTTTTGAATATATATTCTCCTTCCTTCTAAACATGGGTATTTCCAAGGGGAAATTTCTTCTCACAAGCTCAACCATCTTTTAGGACGTTAACTTGTCAACTATGCACCTGCCAGGAACAGGGTGAGGACATGTGGGTAGTGTGTGCTGAAGCTTATTTGCCTGGGGGAGTCTTCAGACAAAACTTCTGCAGTGACCTTGCACCACATCTGAAGATGGACACAGAGCTAACCTGTACGATCTTCTCTCAATAGGCAACTGAGTCTATGCACCATTTTTTTTCCTGGATTTCTGTTCCAAATGGTGACTATGAGAGTGCTCATCACTGTCATGTGGCCAGCGAGAGGGAAGGAATCAGGAAACTGGACTGTTGATAAGGAGAGTAAAGGCAGGTTCTGTGAGAACCACAGAGCTCTGGCTTCTCTCCTCTCTGCCCAATATGTATAGCCCTGGTCCCAGTCCTGTGCTTTATACCTCCTCACCAGCCCTACCCTTGTTGAGCACTTGAATGTATTTCTACAGCCTCACTCATGTGGGCCCTTCCTCCCTATTTTCTATTGTCATTCAGTCTCTCATGGCTGCGTATCTATCTTGTTTCTCCAAGAGAACAATGAGCAGCAGAGAGTGGTTCAGATATTTGGAGTTAAACAGATATGGGTTAGATGGCAACCTAGTCTCTGCATTCATCAGGATAAGACAGAGCACGCTGGCATAGCATATAAACCCTAACATTTCAGTAGATTAACACAATAAAGGTTTATCTCTCACTCATATGATGCATTTCATTTTGTAATCTACAGTCTCTTTCATTTTGTAGTCTACACCCTCTGAAACACATGGTTTCCAACAACAGGGGAAGAGAGTAAGGAAGGAGCACACCAACTCTTTACTGCCTCTACCCAGAAGTGACACCTGTCACTTCTACACCTGGTCCACTGACTAGAACTAGTGAGAGGGCCCTAACCTTATTATAAAGGAGGCTGGGAAATGGAAAGAAACGCAAATATCTGGTGAGCCCTAATTGCCTGCTACAGGCACTTACCAGCTGTGTGACTATGGATAGTTATTTAACTCTTCTGAACCTCAATTCTCTCGTTTGTAGAGAGAGATGCCTTAGATATGCCATAGGATCAAATGCAATGATGTTAGCCTGGTGCCTGGCTTAGAGTAAGTGCTCAGTATTTTTAGTGTATGTAGTTGTAAAGATTATGATGATCTAAGTATAAGGGTCATATTTTCTAATTTTATATCAGTAGTTTTTCTTTATCAAAAAGAATTTCTATTTCTCAAATACAAATAGATGGGTTATCCACCATGGCATGCATTTTCCCATGTAACAAACCTGCACATCCTGCACATGTTCCCTGGAACTTAAAATAAAAATAAAAAATAAAAAAATTTTAAAAAGAAAGAAATAGATGGGCTATCTATCAAATAACCCATCGTATTATTTAGTAAAATAAAAATAAAATAAAATTTGTCATATTTAATTTCGAAGGATTAGAGAGCACACACACAAATGCATATGTCTGAAAATAGGTACATGTACTTGTCAGCTTTCTATTGCACATTCATCCATTCATCACAAACGCATTTGGAATGTGTAGTATATTACATCTTCTGTTAGATATAGGCATGCAGGTATGGATGTGATATTCTTTAATCTCATGGGCTTGTGGAGGAAAAAGACAGGAAAAGAAATAGCATGAAACACTGTAAATAACATATAATATGATACAATGTAAAAATCCACTAAAAAAGGTATAGGCAAAATGTGGTGGAAACATAGATGAGGGAAGTTATAAGTAACCCTGAAGAACAGTCAGGGAGACCTTCACAGAAGAGATATCTAAGTCTTAAATGATGATGGAAATTCATCTAAAGAACACAGTAGGCATGGTGTTTCAAGCACATCCTAACTAATACAAATAGTCAACTTTGTACCTAAATTGGATATCTGTGGGTAGAAGATTGGCTCTGTCTGTTAAGATTATGTTGCTGAGAATAGAATCCTCTTTTTAGCTGTCTTACACAGGAAAGAACTTACAACAGGTCATTAATTGGTTTATAAAAGCATGAGAAGTGCCAAAGTAACAGACTCTGTTGAGATTTTTAAAATGTGTCCCAAAGGCTCATGGCAGAACTTGGCCACCAAGGGAACTCCTGACCCTCCAGTGATCAGGAACCCTTTAGCTGCAGAATCAACCCACCAAATAAGGGCCAGTATAATAAGGAGGCCGCCACAGTCAGATAATCTGGTGAATCTTCTGGCTCCAGTACTTGCTATGCTCGAGACTAGCAAAAGGTTGCCCTATTTCTTGTCAGTTGACACCCAAGATAACTACTAGACCCTGAGACTTTTACTAACATTGATGTAAAAACCCCAAGCACATCTTCGACAGTGCTTACCAGCAAAAACAGCAGATGCACAGCCTCTGCCTCACTTTTGCCTTCCAAACCTCACATGAGTACATTTGATTGTTGTAATCCTAGGCCACATAGAAGACTCTAGATGCAAGAAAGTTTGGGATATGTGAATTCTAGTTCTCCAGACTCTGGAGCATAGGAAAGTGTCTTGAATCAGGGTAGAATGGTGCAAGAATTGAGAGTTAAGAGAGAAAACACATGTATCCATATCGTGAAAGGAAAATAAAATCTCAGGACCTCAAACTCACTATGCCAAAAGGAAAAGTTAATCTCGGAAACTGAGTCAAGCAAAAAACTGCCTTTCCTTTTGTTCTGAAACAGATAGCTATACAGTAGAAGACTATATATTTCCCCTGGTGGCCTCCCTTACCCTGGCAATGTAAATTAGCAGCTTATCTTCATGGGTATGGGTCAAGAGGAGACTAGAAATTGTCCATCCACCTGCCCTGAGGTAAATGCATTTTTGATTTCTTCTACCTGTTTACTTTATCTTATATAAAGTTCGATTTACTAAGCATGAGTACTGTTCCTCTGCTTATACGTAATTGACTGTTCCTCTGCTCCTTCCTTTTCACATGCAACATGTGGATTCAGTGAGCACTAGTCAAAGCCTCAAAAGAGTGTTACTGTTCATCTCATTTGTCTATCCTCTCCCTTGTTTTTAACTTCTTCCACTCCAGCTTGCTTTTTCCTCTTTGAATATTGATGCCCTCAAAACTCTCTTTTGAAAAAGTGTGTGTCACAGATCCTACAGTGGCTTATGTCTCTTTATCCTGGACGCATCCTCAACCTCAGCAAAATAAACCTCTAAATTGATTGAAATCTCACTCAGACACTATTTTGGTTTACAACACAAATAGCTTATGTGCGCATTTGCACTTCTTCCTATAGAATGTGCCCTTTTATTTTTATGAACTATCCTTCTTTGTATTTGGTAATACTTCTTGTTTCAAAGTCTACTTTGTCTAATATTAATATAGGCATGTTAGTTTTTATCTGTTTACCACTTTCTTGGTCTGTCTTTCCATCCTTTTCCTTTCAACCTCTTTATACCTTTCTATTTAAAATGTGTTTCTTACAGACAGCAGACAGTTGAATTTTGCTTTATAATCTAACCTGATAATCTCTGCCTTTTAATTAGAGTGGTTTCTTCCTATTACATTTAATGTAATTATTGATATGGTTGGGTTTAAGTTTATCATATTGCTATTTACTGCAATTTGCCCTTTTTTTCTGTTAGTTTCTTTTATTTTTGCCACTTTCGTGTTCATAAAATACTTGCTAGTATTTAATTTTATTTCTGTTATTGGCTTTTTAGCTCTTTTAATTATTTTTTAATGGTTGCTAGAGATATTACAAAAAGAATCTTTAATTTTTAACATTCTAATAATTTTGTTCACTTTATGTTTCATATTTCACACTTCACAAATAAAAGGATCTTGTAGTTTTCCATCTTCTCCTTTTCTACAATTGTCTGTCATTCATTTTACATATATTATAAGCCCCATCTTGCAATAGTTCTTTTTTGCTTTAACAGTTATTTGTCTAATTCAGAAATTTTTAAAAATCCCTTAGTTATTTTATTTTATTTTATTTTATTTTATTTTATTTTATTGAGATAAAGTCTCGTTCTGTCACCCAGGCTGGAGTGCAGTCGCATGATCTTGGCTTACTGCAGCCTTCACCTCCCACGTTCAAGTGGTTCTCCTGCCTCAGCCTCCTGAGTATCTGGGACTACAGGCATGCGCCCCGCACCCAGCTAATTTTTGTATTTTCAGTAGAGACGGGGTTTCACTATGTTGGCCAGGATGGTCTCAATCTCCTGACCTCGTAATCAGCCTGCCTCAGCCTCCCAAAGTGCTGGGATTACAGGCGTGAGACACCACGCCCAGCCTTATTTCCTGAAATATTTTCCCATGTATTTTTGTGCTCTTCCATTCCTCATATAAATCTGGGTTTCCACCTGGTATAAGTTCCCTTCATATTAAATACTTTTATTCAATATTTCTTGTAATATTGAATAAAAGGTCTATTGGCAATACATTTTCTCAGGACTTATTTATATAAAAATGTTCTCTCTCCCATCTCAGAGGTTTAAAGATCTCATCACATTGTCTTCTTTCCTCAGTTGTTTCTGAGAAGTCAATCATCATTATAATTGTTGTTTCTCCAAATGTAAGGCATCATTTCCTCCTCTACTTTTAAGATTTTTTCATTATCTTTGCTTTTCTGGAGTTTGACTATAATCTTTCTTGGCATAGTTTTCTTTTTACTATGTGACTTGCTAAGTTTCTTGGTTCCATAGGTTGATGTTTCTTCATTTGAATATGGAAAAAGTTTGACCATTTTTCTTCAGATAATTTTTGTTCTCCTTCCATTCTTACTCTTCTCTTTTTCTGAGCCACAATAACATGTATGTTAAACCACTTGGTATCTCACAGGTCACTGAAGTTTTATTTGTTTTGATCTTTTTTTCTCTCTGTTATTCAGATTGGGTAATTTCTATGGATCTGTCATTGAGTTCACTGACAATTTTTTTCCTTCCATCTCTAATCCAATCATTCAATTAATTTTTCCATTGTAGATTTTGTGTTTCTCTTTTCTCGAATTTTCATTTGGTTCTTTTTTATAGCGTTCATTTCTTTGCTGAGATTTCCTATCTGCTTGGAAACCAGTATTTTTAAGACATATATGTTTATTTTGAAATACTTATCTACCATATTTTCCTTTAAGTCTTTAAACATATTTGTAATAGCTGTTTTAAAATTCTTGTATACTAATTATAACAGCTGGCTCCTATCACAGTCTATTTCTATTTACAATTTTTTTCCTTGATAATGGGTCAAAATTTCCCGCTTCTTTATATACCTAAAATTTGTCATTAATATGTTGGGCATTATACATGATACTGCGTAAGGAGTTCTTAATTTTGGAAGTTGTTATTCTGGTGCCCCAACTGAATACCTGGGGTGTTATTGAAGTCTCTTTACTCTGGCAGGGTTGGAATTCCACTGTCTTCCAGAACTGTGCATCCCTAGTATCTCTGTCCCCTTCTCAACACTGTGGCAGCACTCTCTGCTAGAACTCTTGGAACAATGTACAGCCAGCCCTTGGCCAACGACCCACAGAGAAGCATCATATAAGCTTCTGCTCCTCCTTACTCTTTTTTTTTTTTTTTTTTTTTTTTTTAAGCAGAGGACCCTGCGGCCTTCCGCAGTGTTTGTGTCCCTGGGTACTTGAGATTAGGGAGTGGTGATGACTCTTAACGAGCATGCTGCCTTCAAGCATCTGTTTAACAAAGCACATCTTGCACCGCCCTTAGTCCATTTAACCCAGAGTGGACACAGCACATGTTTCAGAGAGCACGGGGTTGGGGGTAAGGTTATAGATTAACAGCATCCCAAGGCAGAAGAATTTTTCTTAGTACAGAACAAAATGGAGTCTCCTATGTCTACTTCTTTCTACACAGACACAGTAACAATCTGATCTCTCTTTCTTTTTCCCACATTTCCCCCTTTTCTATTCAACAAAACCGCCATCGTCATCATGGCCCGTTCTCAAAGAGCTGTTGGGTACACCTCCCAGACGGCAGACAGGGTGGTGGCCGGGCAGAGGGGCTCCTCACTTCCCAGACGGGGTGGCCGGGCGGAGGTGCCCCCCACCTCCCGGACGGGGCGGCTGCCGGGCAGGGGCTGCCCCCCACCTCCCTCCCGGACGGGGCGGCTGGCTGGGTGGGGGCTGCCCCCCACCTCCCTCCCGGATGGGGCGGCTGGCTGGGCGGGGGCTGGCCCCCACCTCCCTCCCGGACGGGGCGGCTGGCCGGGCGGGGGCTGCCCCCCACCTCCTGGACGGGGCGGCTGCCAGGCGGAGATGCTCCTCACTTCCCAGAGGGGGCGGCTGCCGGGCGGAGGGGCTCCTCACTTCTCAGACGGGGCGGCCGGGCAGAGACGCTCCTCACCTCCCAGACGGGGTGGCGGTCGGGCAGAGACACTCCTCAGATCCCAGACGGGGTCGTGGCCGGGCAGAGGCGCTCCTCACATCCCAGATGGGGCAGCGGGGCAGAGGTGCTCCCCACGTCTCAGACGATGGGCTGCAGGGCAGAGGCGCTCCTCATTTCCCAGACTGGGCAGCCAGGCAGAGGGGCTCCTCACATCCCAGAGGACGGGCGGCCAGGCAGGGACGCTGCTCACTTCCCAGACGGGGTGGCGGCTGGGCAGAGGCTGCAATCTCGGCACTTTGGGAGGCCAAGGCAGGCGGCTGGAGGTGGAGGTTGTAGCGAGCCTAGATCATGCCACTGCATTCCAGCCTGGGCAACATTGAGCACTGAGTGAGCGAGACTCCGTCTGCAATCCCAGCACCTCGGGAGGCCCAGGTGGGCAGATCACTCGCGGTCAGGAGCTGGAGACCACCCCGGCCAACACGGCGAAACCCCGTCTCCACCAAAAAGTACAAAAACCAGTCAGGCCTGGTGGCATGCACCTGCAATCCCAGGCACTCGGCAGGCTGAGGCAGGAGAATCAGGCAGGGAGGTTCATCAAGCCGAGATGGCGGCAGTACAGTCCAGCCTTGGCTTGGCATCAGAGGGAGACCGGGGAGAGGGAGAGGGGGAGGGGGAGGGGGAGGGGGAGGGGGAGGGAGAGCTATTGCCCTCCTCCTTACTCTTGTCTAACTTTCTGCTTCCCCTCTCCCCAGTGCAAGTCTCTGATATCCTGAGCCCCAAACGCCAAAATGTGCTTTCTTTCTGAAGGTCACTAGGACCACCCTACTCTTTTGTTAGTTATACCTCTGATGCTGAAGTTAAAAAACTGTCCCCAAGTGGAGAGCCAAGGTGAATGAAGGGGGATCACCTCACATATTTCCTTTCTGTCACGGACTCCAGCCCTGCAGTGCCTAGGGTTCAATGCCTGAAGACAATGTCCGCATGTATTTGTCAGGCTTTATAATTGTTGAGAAGGTAATTCCGGCATCAGTTACTCCGATCTGGCCAAAAGTGGAAGTTCTTCTATGTGTCCATTTGAAATGCATAGTATAAAGAAGTAATAATCTTAAGGAAATCCCATTAATTTTAACCCAATTTGAATTGAAAACAGTGTTTTTACATATAATATATAAATGTTATGATTTGAAAATTTATCTAAATATAAGATGCATCTTATTATGGTTTTTGCATTCAGGTGTGGTAGGAAAACAAGCAAACAAACAAACAAAAACTCTTGCATGGCTAACAGCTCATGGAGATTTTAGCATGAGCTGAAGAATCTTATTTTTCCCCTACCATAGTTTCCAAGGATAAGTGAATGTTTTCTTTAGTTCTAACACTAGAGCATAGGTTGGCCAGACCTAAGAAGCTTGGCCTATCATAAAATTAATGACTTTAAGAGAGATTATTTACATAATATGAGGGTTTAAGATGCAGATATACAATAAAGTTATTGTCATATTTCAGATGCTAAAGGAAGTGTGACTTAAAAAGGAGACAGCTACTTCTTTTATTGAAAAAGGAGACAGCTATTTCTTTTATTGCCTGAAATGTATGGGACGAGAGTATGATTGACATTCCAGAATACTACACAACCATCATCCAACCACCGTGAGTTCCACACGAGCCTTCCAGGAGCTCTTTATTGAATGTTCTCTTTGCTTCAGTGGTCAAACCTGGGTTCCCAAAGACAATCTAATGGGTCAGCCACATTTCAAGCTGAAACTTAATAAATGCAATGAAGTTTGAAAATAGTTCACATTTAAAGAACTCATAACAAAGTCCTCATAAAAAAGATGTTCTTACGCCAACAAGTAATTTAAGAAAGTCTCCATCCTTAACATAAATAAAAGGAAATGTCAGGTCTCTGTGGTTAATTCATTTACAGGTAATTTATTCAGTGTGAAGTTTAAATTATTGTTTCTTATTAAAACGTGAAGCCAGGCACAGTGGCTCATGCCTATAGTCCCAGCACTTTGGGAGACTGAGGTGGGAGGATTGCTTGAGGCTAACAGTTTGAGACCAGCCTGGGCAACATAGTGAGACCCCAGCTCTACAAAAAATTAAAAAATAAAACATAAGCTGGGTGTGGTGGCATGCACCTGTGGTCCCATCTACTCAAGAAGCTGAGGCAGGAGGATTGCTTGAGCCCAGGAGTTCAAGACTCTAGTAAGGCATGACTGCAGCACTGCACTCCAGCTTGGGCAACAGAATGAGACCCTGTCTCTAAAATTAATTTAAAAAAAAAATGCTAAGACTTTCGATCCAAGCAGAGTGTTTTAGAGCGCCTGGCCCTGAAGTGAATTTGGTAACCAGGCAAAGGCAAACCCCTACCTAGAGCCATGGAAAGTTATTAAGGTTAAGGCCAAGATTATTTTTAGCCTCAGATTTTAAAATATTCGTCAAGATTATTATTAGCCTTTAAGCTTAGTAGCCTGAGGCCAAGGTTGAGGTGGGAGGGTATGTGACTGACAGAGATCATCAACCATGTGAGGTAGGTTAAGGCTTAGCCTTTGGAATCAGACTCACTCAGATTACAGTCCTGACTCAACTTTGAGCAAATCACCTGGCCTCTCTGAGAGCAGTTTCCTCATCTGCAGAATAGCGATTGTAATTGCACTGACCTCTCAGTATGCGTGTGATGCTCCTGTGAGATTATGTTTGTGAGGTTCTGAGCACAGCTCCCTGAGAATCCTAATGCTCATTCAGTGAGGACTGAAGGATATGATGATGAAACACGCATGTCTCATGACTTCTCCAAAGTCAGCACATTACTAAGAAAATAAAACCATGCTTTGTGGTTTCTGCAGTGTTTGGATACCAGTGGACCATAGGTGAGGGATGAACAAGTGTTCTCTCTCTCTCTCTCTGTCTCCCCATCCCCCATCCCCACCTCCACCCCATGCCTCTGGAAGATCCTTGCTCTCTGCAGCGCTGGGGCAGCCTCCCATTCATACAGTGATTAATCAGGACAATTAATGTCATATGGACATTAATTAGGACAATTAATTAGGACTATTAATGTCATAATAGGTCAATGTCATTCTAGGATGCTTTTGTTGTCATGCTAACTAGATATGGGTACCAGACACTATTTTGAGTAAGGGCAAAATATACTTGTTTCACACTGGAATTTGTATTGGGTGGGGAAAGTTTTGTTAGGCTGGAAAGGGGACATACCTTCCGCTGGGATGCCCCAAGAAGGCAGGAGCTTTCAGCAGGGAGAAGATGGCCACCCTGGCTTATTGTTTCAGGGAAATACTCTCAAAGGATGCCTTCTGGAAAGTGTGATACTGGGAAGTGCTGATTTTAATGCTTGAAATTTGTTTGCGTGGATACACATAAAATCCACCAACACTGAATTTTATTACCCGTTGATCAAGTATCTGTTTAGTTAATTAGTTTAGTTCATATAAAAATCAACAAAAGTAGCTGTATCCACCAGCTGGCTTTGTAGGGCTGTGAAGGATAAGGAGGGACTTCAGGGGTTCATTGAATGTCATTGAAGGCAACCCAAGGGAAGCGAGCTAACCCCAAGGGAAGCGAGCTAACCCCAAGGGAAGCGAGCCGGTCGGCACTGTTTTGTGTGTGTGTGTGTGTGTGTGTGCATCTTTCTTTTTTTTTCTCTTTTTATTTTATTATTATACTTTAAGTTTTAGGGTACATGTGCACAATGTGCAGGTTAGTTACATATGTATATATGTGCCATGCTTGTGTGCTGCACCCATTAACTCGTCATTTAGCATTAGGTATATCTCCTAATGCTATCCCTCCCCCCTCCCCCTACCCCACAACAGTCCCCAGAGTGTGATGTTCCCCTTCCTGTGTCTATGTGTTCTCATTGTTCAATTCCCGTCTATGAGTGAGAACATGCGGTGTTTGGTTTTTCGTCCTTGTGATAGTTTACTGAGAATGATGATTTCCAATTTCATCCATGTCCCTACAAAGGACATGAACTCATCATTTTTTATGGCTGCATAGTATTCCATGGTGTATACGTGCCACATTTTCTTAATCCAATCTATCATTGTTGGACATTTGGGTTGGTTCCAAGTCTTTGCTATTGTGAATAGTGCTGCAATAAACATACGTGTGCATGTGTCTTTATAGCAGCATGATTTATAGTCCTTTGGGTATATACCCAGTAATGGGATGGCTGGGTCAAATGGTATTTCTAGTTCTAGATCCCTGAGGAATCGCCACACTGACTTCCACAATGGTTGAACTAGTTTACAGTCCCACCAACAGTGTAAAAGTGTTCCTATTTCTCCACATCCTCTCCAGCACCTGTTGTTTCCTGACTTTTTAATGATCGCCATTCTAACTGGTGTGAGATGGTATCTCATTGTGGTTTTGATTTGCATCTCTCTGATGGCCAGTGATGATGAGCATTTTTTCATGTGTTTTTTGGCTGCATAAATGTCTTCTTTTGAGAAGTGTCTGTTCATATCCTTTGCCCACTTTTTGATGGGGTTGTTTGTTTTTTCTGTTTTAAATCTGCTGTCAGGTTCACTCAGTGGGTCTGGGCAAGGCAAGCCCGAATTTCATTCTGGCTTTTTCTGGACTCCATCCTTCCTCTGCAGCCCAGGACTCTCCCTGCTCCCCCTTCATTCTCCTGCCCTCCAGGCAGCCCATAATCCTCCTACCCCAGGAACCCTCTGGTTTCAGGGTTCCCCTGCCACAGCACTGGCCCACCCTGCTTCCTTTCCCACATTGTGGACCGCACCTCTTTTCTCCTTTTAGCAACATTTCCCCTGTCCTTTGGCCCATTCCAGGCATTTTGCTAGGGATCTAACAGCTAATCTGTGAAAAATGAAGTATAAAAGGTCAATGAATTACCTGCCCTGCCATTAAATACAAATATTTGTATTTAAAGGGGGTAGGGAGATAACTGTTAGAGAAAGCCTCACTCCAAAGTAATGACTATCCTTCCTCAAATTGGTACAAACAAATTTTTAGTGGGTTATGGTGGCGGTGAATTTTGGGGTCCCTCAAATCACACCAGGCATTCAGCCATGTACAGGGAATGATGGGACCTAGAGGCCCTAGAGATGGGTTCACACAGCCAAGCTGGCTTCATGGGCCCAGGCCCTGCTATCTAGATCCACCCCTCCTGGCCATGCGCTTCAGTCCTGATGAACTCCCACGGAGGATGTGAGCCAGGGACAGCAGCAACACAGCCCACGGGAGCCCAGGAGAGCCAGAAAGGGGAGGGGCCCCTCCCAGCTTCCCTTGTGCTCAGCCCCACCAAGACCACCACTCCAGGCTGGTGGCTGCTGGAAGAGAAAGGCATTGGCACCCTGAATGTGGTGTCTCTGTGGGGCCAGGCACAGCCCAGAGAGCAAGAGGCTTGGAGGGGGCTGGTGGGGTGGAGAACAGAAAGGCCCTTCCTCCCTCCCCGGTTAAGCCGACTTCCCATGTGGCTGCCTGGAATTCCCCCGTTAGTTGTTCCTTTGTGCTAAAACACTGGCATCTCTCATGGAGAGCTGCATGGGGACTGGCAAGGCAGCTGGGAGGCACAGAAGTGTGGCTGGTTCCTGCTTCCCACCCTTCCTAACCTCAGTGTGGGCAGTGAGGGCAGCAGATCTGGTCCTCAAAGGATCTGTCCCATGGTGTGTGGTAGACGTACCTGACAGTAGTAATTGGACTTGACTGCACCCTAAGAATGACCCTGCATGGCAGACACACCTGGATGTGTGTTCAGAGTTCCCAGCTAAGGAATCCAGGAGTGGCCAACCCAGGGGTCCCTTCTGTATCTATGAGGAACATCTGAGCCCCTGGCTCCTCCCGTGGGATGCTGAGCACACAGGAAATAGAGGCCCTTTGTTTTCGGTTGCATGAAGGTTGCCGGGTGGAGGTGGTTAGGGGAAGGTACCAAGCGAAAATGCTATGTAAACTACATGGCTTTTGCAAACGGTTGTAATTCTCCTGTCCAGCCTCCACCACTGGACTCTCTCCCATGTATATAAACCCCCAGTAGAACCCCATGTCTCATTCACTGGCTCTGGGTCTCTTCGACCTCTTGAACCTAGTGCCATCCTCACTGAAGTTGAGAGGGGTTCAGCACAACTCAAGGAACCCAGCACGAAGCACCCAGGGCACCCCTTTAATCCTCCTGGCAGAGGATGGGGAGGGACCGAGTGTGACTGCACCCTGGCTGTCCAGACCTGGAAGCCTCACTTCCCTCCTTCTGAGTGGCCTCTGGAAATACAATTAGGAGAATACTGAGGCGCCACATACAGCCTGGAAGGGTTTATTTCCAAGTTTGGTGTTTCTGTGAAAAAACAACACTGTGGTTGTTCCTTGGTGAAGTCGCCTTGAGAGCTGGATAAATTCTAAGTGCTCTTAGTCATCTCTTCCCTGAAGTGGCCAGTTACTTCTGCAGGTCGGGATCTCAGACCATTCAGCCGTGATTCCTCTCGGCCCTACGCTGTCCTTCCCTGGGGTGGAACACACACTTGGTTAACTGATGATGTTGGGATGTCCTTTGAATGGACTCTGAAAAAAAAAATTACTCCAGTCACCAAGTCTTTAGGGAGACTCACAGGCCGTCCACAGCAGCCCTCCCTCTGCTTGTGGTGTTTCTATCACCCTTTCACACTTCACATCTTGCCTGAGAGACAAGAAAACTTAAAAATAGGAAATGGTGCCACATATACAAAATTAGGCTCTTCACAGAGTGTTTTAGAAACTAGGGAAAAGGAAACTTCAAAATGACATTTTATGCTCCCCACCTCCCTGGGAGGCCTGGTTAAGGTGAGCTTTGAGGCAGCAACAGCACCTGCAAAGTCACAGGTTGATTTGCAGCAGGTTTGTCACAAGATGGTCCCCTCTGGGGTGAAAGGGGCTGGAACAAGCCATGAGATGCCAAGAGAACCTGTGAACCCATTGAAGAAAATCTGTTATCTAGAGACCAGAGGAAAATGCAGTTTCAATGCTGGCATCCCTCAGCATCTGTCTTGGGGTGCAAGGGGGGGGTGTCCCTGAACCATGGCGATACGGTGCATTGACCTTGGAACATTTGTAATCCCTTGTAAGAGGACAGCCACAAATCTCTTTGTGATGTCACAAATTTCCAAAGTGAAGGAGTTCTCTCAAGTGTCTCAATCAGAGATGTTTTTCTTGGGGTCAGAAAAACAAAGGAAAAAGCATGAGCATCTCTCCTGGGCTGTGCGCACAGCTCCACTGCCAGTCCCAGCTGACACGCAGGAGCCACGATGGAGAGGCCAGCGGTGACCTCAGCTCACGGCTCACAACGGGGCCTTGGGGACTTGACCTTGGCAAAACCATGCACCCTGTGTCCCCTGAACCCTGAGTCCTTGGGTTCCCTGTCCCAGCCTCCTAGGAAGTCAGAGGTGGAGACTTTACTGACTCCTTCTTGGACTTTCCAACTTGGAAGCCAGGATTTTCTTCCTGTATATTACAATAATAAAAATAATTACTGCTGCTATTGAATTTTTATGCTAACCACACTAGGTCCAGACATCTGCATTAAACTAAGCTGGAGAACCTTTAGTAAAGATTTTTCCACAGCTGCAAAGCTGTGCAAAAACTAGAAAATGTCCAACAGCTGCTGCAGCCACGAAAATATTACAGGAATGAAGACGTTTCAAATGTAAGAGAAATGGCTGGTTATGCATATCAAAATGGCCTAGCCAACAGCGCCTTCTCTTAGATAACATTACAGACATGAATAATGAACCATTAGCTAGAACTACAAATATAAAATTTTCATTAATCATCCTGGATATTAAAGGAAGTTGGGGGGAAGAGTCAGTGAGGGCTCATGGAAAAATATGAGTGGGTGGGATAATGTTATTAATACCATTTCCCTGAGGTGGAATAAATGTCATTTTCCTGAGTTTGAATTTTAATAAAATTTCAATTTCTGGAATATTGAAAGGATGCAATAAGGATTATTCAGAGGTAAGTGAATAATGCCATTTCAAATTCTGCAAAAGGTTGCTACTGCTGTGAAGCCAGATTGTGAAAGTGTGATCTGCCACTCATTTGCTTGCCCAGATATCCATTTACGCAGTGTGCCATGAGAAGCCCAGGCTAGAAAGGTAGATGCATGGAATTCCACTGCATTCTTCCAGCTACAGCCCCTGGTATATTGAGGCTGGTACACTCTTGTGGTATAGCTATCTGTTTGCCAAAGATGAGCTGTTGAAGTTTTCCCAGGACTCCATATTTTGCAAAGTGCCAGCCGGTCATCAAGAGCTTGGGATATGGGCCCAGGGCCACAGCTGACCTCAGGCCCCTGCTGCAGAGGGCCCCACCCTGTCCCTGCTGTGTGGTTCCCCATCCTTTTCTTCTTTCCCTGTGGCAGAGATGCCAGCAGAGCTTAGAGTTGACACAGGCTTCAGAGTTATCTGATAGGGACATCTATTATGTCTTGACTTCTGGATTATTGATGGCCAAATTTAGGATTGTTAAAACCTTAGAAAAATTAAATTTAATGGAATCTAGTTGAGCAAAGAACAATTTATGAATTGGGCAGCCTCCTGAGCTAGAGTAGGCTCAGAGAGACTCCAGCACAGTCACGTGGTGGAAGAAGATTCATGGACAGAAAACGGAAGTGAGGTACAGAAACAGCTCAGTTGGTTACAGCTTGGTGTTTGTCTTTTTTGAACATGATTTGAAAAGTTAGCCCCCTTTAATTGGTCAAAACTTGGTGACTGGCATAAGAGTAGTTTAATCTGCTTACACATCTAGTTATGTTTCAGTTTACTATGTGTGAAGAAACCTTTAGGCTGGGCTTAAAATATGAAAAGAGTCAGCTTTAGGCTAAACTTACTTTAACAAGAAGAAAGATGATTTCTGAGATTTCCTTTTTTTTTTTTTATTTTTTAAGAACTCTTGGCCCTTCTGTGCCTGCTTTTATTTGCTTTTTATTTTTTTTTAAGACAGGATTTTGCTCTGTCACCCAGGCTGGAGTGCAGTGGTGCAATCATAGCTCACTACAGCCTCCTGGGCTCCAAATCTCCTCCTGCTCAGCCTCCTTACTCCCTCCAACTCCCACTGCCCACCCCACCCCAAACCCATTGCTGGGACTATAGGCACGTGCCACCATGGCTGGCTCCTTCTCTGCCTGTCGGATCCTCTTCATCTTTCCAAGGTGACTGCAAATCCCATGTCTTCAGTGAAGCTCTCCTGGGTCACTCTAGCCAGGGCTGCCCACTCCCTCCTGTCAGCTCCTGGAGGTCTTATTTCTTCTGTTATTAATTTGAGAAACATCAGATCTAGTTGTGAATTTTTCAGTTCCAGAGTTAAATCTTCAACAAGATTGGAAACTTCTTGAAAGCTAAGCCCAGGTATCACATTTGTTTAAAACCTGCCCTATACTGTCTGCTCTGACCCCAGTACACACACCACACTCATCCAGGCATGGGCACACATACACACAGCCCCCAGACAGAGGGGAGATTTAATAAATCCTTACAAGTGGTGCTGATGACTCAAACTGCTTTGCAAACTGTAACCTGCCTAGACAGAACCAATTTATCAAGACAGGGGAATTGCAATAGAAAAAGGGTAATTTATATGGAGCCAGCTGTGCAGAAGGCCAGAGTTTTATTATGACTCAAATCAGTCTCCTTGAAAACTCAGGGATTGAAGTTTTTAAGGATAATTTAGTGGGTAAGTGGGTAGGGAGGCAGTGAGTTGGGAGTCCTGATTGGTTGGGTAGGAGATGAAATTATAAGGAGTCAAAGTTGTCCTCTTGCGCTCAGTCAGTTCCTTGGTGGGAGCCACAAGACCAGATGAGCTAGTTTATCGATCTGAGTGGTGCCAATAGATTCACCCAGTGCAGGGTCTACAAAATATCTCAAGCACTGATCTTAGGTTCGACAGTAGTGATGTTATCCCCAGGAGCAATTTGGGGAGGCTGAGAATCTTGCAGCCTCCAGCTGCATGACCCCTAAACCATCATCTCTAATCTTGTGGCTAGTACTACAAAGGAAGTCTAGTCCTCAGACAGGAAGGGGGCTTATTTTGGGAAAAGGCTGTTATCATTTTTGTTTCAAAGTTAAACTATAAACTAAGTTCCTCCCAAAATGAGTTCGGCCTACATCCAGGAATGGACAAGGACAGTTTGGACGTTAGAAGCAAGATGGGGTGAGTTAGGTCAGATCTCTTTGACTGTAATAATTGTCTTAGTTATAATTTTTGCAAAGGCAGTTTTAAAACTAGCATACCACGATTTGACATATTATAATGACATTTTTTGCAGAAGTTTGCTTACAGAGTGTTATTTTTATGTAGTTTTTCTACCTTACACTTCCGTTTATTGAGCTATTACTATGTGCCAAAGACTACCCCAAATTCTTTACAAATGTTGTCTCATTAAGTCTCACAATATCCCCCACGAGGTATGAATTTATATGCACATTTTTTAAACAGCCAGCTATGACTCAGAGTGGTTAAAAAAATTGCAGGTAATAGGTGGTGGGGTGGGGCTTTACGTGTACTTGCATTTACCTAACTAGACCAATACACAAGGTATAGTCAGAAAGGGCGAGGAATACAGGAGAAATTCCACATCATCCAGATACATTTCCATGTGGGATAGCAGGAAAAGCACAGATCTGGGGTCAAATGGTTTGGCCCAGGTGTGGCTTAAAAGTTGTATGCGTTTAGGCAAAACCTTAAACTCATTTGAGTCTTCATGTCTAGATTTCTTATTCTGTAAAATAACTTACCTACCCTACATATAGTATCCACACTATAAAAAGACTGACTCTAGTTCCAGAGTTTATTTAGAGTCCTGTTGCCTTCATGAAGCAGTCTTGATTTTACAATCTACCCAAGGTACTAAAAATTTATGTGAGATTTGATATTTGTCTCTGGATACTTTTCACATCAAACAAACACATGTTCTAACTTTCAGAGGCTGAAACCCCAAGGCCGATGAATCACAAGGAGAATGAAGCAGTCTGCTTTTCAGTTTTCCTCGCGATTTTTATTGCAACCACCTTTACATCATGCAGAGGTTACTACAGGTTCTGTCGTTTTCATTTTAGATTTTTATATATAATTTTGAATTTTATTCCTATTTTTGTTAGAAAATAATTTTTCCTCATGCAATGCCACTTCCAAGGCAGTACACATTTGAACTGGCAAAGTTTGTCATACTGACATTGATGTAATAATTTTTTAAAAATCACTTCCAAGTCATCCACTGAAGTGTCAGCAATGAATTGGCATACCAATGCAAATAGAGGATGAAGAATGAGCCACAGAGAAGGAATTAGGAAGAGCATTTTGGAGTCCATCAAGATATGCGTGCTTGAGTCTCGCCATCACTGTCTCTGTCTCTTTCTCTGGTAAAAAAAATAAAAATAAATAAAGCCCAATTTTGAGGGTGGGGTGGAAGTGGAATTCTTAAATGTCTACTGCATACACGAAGGACTTAACATTTGTATTTTTCCTCTGAAAATAGACAGCTAAATTCTTCAGAAAATGTGCTGGGGCAGAGGCCATTGCTGAGCCCAGCTGTTGAGGAGTCTGCCCGCCCCAGCGCATGCCCCACACCATGGTCATCCCCAGCTCCATCTGTCTGGTGTCCTGGCCCTGACCTGGCAGATGTCGTGGGTGAGCATGAGAGGGGCATCCTGGCAGCTGTGGGTTATTCTAAGAAGAATTGTGTCATTGTGGGAGAAAGGTTGCCGCTGATGGCCAACTTGTGCTGGTTTGCCTAATACTTTCCCAGTCTGAAAGTCTTGTGTCCAGGGAAACCACCGTCAGTCCTGGGCAAACCAGGGTGCTTGGTCCCCTTCAGAATCACCTCTATCCACGGAAACAGCACCCACCCCATAACAAGGGATGCACATTTTCAGCTAGACTGGACTCAAAATTTGACTGTTTTTCAGATGAAACTATGAGCTAAAAGATTTTCAGGAGTTGCTGTCTATTCTTAGTTGTAAAAGACTTCCATTGCCTTCTTCAACCAAGATGATGCCAGAAAGTATTCTTTTTCTATGGTGCCTATCCTCACCCCACCACGGTGCTTGGCTTTTCCTCAGCGTCTTCATTGGCAACAAGGATGCACCTCCTTCCTTCCCATATGCAGTTTGAATGATCGGAATTTGCATAACTCTATTGTCTCTGGTCAAAGACATTTATCTTCATGTATGTTTTTCAAGGATAATATTTTAAAATAATGTTCACCTTCTATCAGAGCATTTCTGGTCAGACCCAGTTCACATTTGCATTGATTGATGGCTATTTTAGAGCAACTGTGAAACCCCATTCTTCAACCCTCAGTGGTTTTGTTTCTTTAGGCTTCCAGTGGGACAGTTTTCCTGTGCCACCAGACCAGTGCCTGGTCAGAACCCGGTCAAGACCCTTTTCTGTATTTGTAACTTATATTGTGAGCCAGATCACACTATTTTGCTCCATGTAATCTGGCCTCTGCCTCCGGCCTTGTCCTGATGCCCTGGCTCCCAGCCTCTTGCCTGTGTCTTTGTCATCTCGCACCCACTCTGGAGACCCAGGATTTGATGCTGCTTCCTGGGGCTGACCTTGCCCCTCCTGAGTTTATATTTGCCTCTGGTTCTTCAGAGCACCCCCCTCCCTGATCTCACTCAACTTCCCTTGACACATGGCAGGTTTAATTATCCCACATGGAAAAGGGAGTAAGACATAGAATTTCAATGTACTATGCATAAAAATGAAATACACTCTCTAACTTACCTTCCAGGGTTGCCATCTTCACCCTCTATTCAAACACTGGTAAAGGAGAACCGGGACACACACCTAACATCTCTTTGCGAGTCATGCCGTGTTGAAACGGGACAGGAGTTTTCCCTTATCCCCCTCACAGGGCATGTGATGGGGGTGTGGCTCGCTTCTTTTGTGCCCCAAAGCTCAAACCCCTAGGGGGAGCAGGCAGACAGGCAGGTCGTGGCGCACGTGGGCTCCAACCCCAGGGCAGTGTCTAGGGTTGAGTGTTTACAGCTCTGGAAGCCTCAGTGGGTGTGTATTACAGTGTACTCTTTCAGCTTAGCCATCCGCAGGCAGCTTGTGTTAATCAGCTCAGTTAGACCCTCTGTCTTATCACAAAGATGGAGGGCTTTCTCTATCCTGGGGTTCTTGCCCTAGTGTATCGAAAAAATCGGGTCACGTGTGGGCTTGGAGAACGAGTGCAAGGTTTTATTGAGTGGTGGAAGTAGCTCTCAGTGGATGGATGGGGAGCCAGAAGGGGGATGGAGTGGGAAGGTGGTCTTCCCCTGGAGTTTGGGCTGCTCAGCAGCTGGGCTCTCCTCCAACCGCCCTTGGTCAAATTTCCCTTGGCATCCACATCATTTCGCCATCAATGACCTGCCAGCATCTATTGATGTGTTCTGCCGTTGTGTTTTTCTCAATGTCCAGCTGCTTGTGTGTGTGCCTGCTAGGGTGTCAGGGTTTTTATAGGCACAGGTTGGGGGTGTGGAGGGTCAGAGCGGTCTTGGAAAATGCTACATTTGGGCATGAAAACAGGAGTGCTTTTCCTCACCTAGGTTTGTGGGCACAGGCCCAGTGGTGGAGCCCTTGCCAGGGACCCTGCCCTTCTCTACTCAGCACTTCCCTTCCCGCCTCATGTATCAATGTGGCCCTAGGTAAGTCACTTCATCTCTCTGGCTCTCAACTTCCTTGTTTTAAACAGAGGAATAAAAACCCAACACATAAAATTCCTAGGACATTAAATGACAAAATATTTATCATAAAAGCACCTGTAAACTCTAAGTCATATACCAATCTAATGTATTACTATGTTTAATAAGTTAAGTTACCATATAGGATGAAAAATAGACAACCATCTTTCTTAGTAAGGTTTTGGTGCTGACTGATGGGATGCAGGAGCCAACAGCTTCTTGAGAGCTCTCCTTTTATGTTTTGAAATAAGAGTAGAAGAGCAAGTCAATGCATTTAGGAAGAGGAAATGGGGAACAGACACACTATTTTATAAATAGTAACAAAGATATATTGAGTTAAACCTCCCAAGGTGGGTTGTTAAGTTAGAGACAGAAGTGAATGGTGTAACAACTCAACTGTGCTGGTGCAAAGGCTCCTAAGAAAGAAGTCCACACAGGTTCGTATTTTAGCGTGCGTCCAGTCCCTGGCACAGAGAAAGCTTGGGATGGCTTGAGGGGATGCAGTGGGCTAAAGACAGTCTTCTCCTTCCAATGGAAACCTGCAAGAAAGGAAAGAGCTTACACATTTCTCTCCATGAGCTTAGAATAGGAATTTGCAAGATATCTAAAAGCAATAAATATTTGGTGAGATTCACTCACTATTATGGTTTGACTGTGTTCCCATCAAAATCTCATCCTGAATTGTAATTCCCACAATTCCCACCTGTTGTGGGAGGAACCTGGTGGAAGGTGGTTCAATTATGTGGGCGGGTCTTTCCTGTGCTGTTCTCGTGATAGTGAATGAGTCTCATGAGATATGATGGCTTTACAAATGGCAGTTTCCCTGCACAAGTTCTCTTTTTGCCTGCTACCATCCATGTAAGACATGACTTGCTCCACCTTGCCTTCCACCATGATTGTGAGGCTTCCCCAGCCACATGGAACTGTAAGTCCATTAAACCTCTTTCTTTTGTAAATTGCCCAGTCTCAGGTATGTCTTTATCAGCAGCGTGAAAATGGATTAATACACTCACCAAATGAGGGAGGGTCTAGCAGACATCTCAAAAATCTGACAGGGGTCTCCTGCAGAGCCCCAGGCATGTTTATTCAGATGCAAATGGTAGGGGAAAAAAATAAAACCAATAGCACTTGTTCTGTTTGGATTTTCAATGAACTACTAAATACAAGGTCTGAAAATTATTAGTGACACAAATCCTGAGTAAACTGAGTGCTCAAGGGTCGTTTTAAATACTAGCCTACATTAAGGTTAGCTTCTAATTCTTCTGCCTTAATTGTAAAATTCTTGGCTATCCACCTGATTTTAACTAACAACTTCATAGGAGCACTGTATATATTAGAAATACTTTCAGCTCCAATATCTGACTAGTCAGAGTATCTGACTAAAAACCAGTTAAGCCATAAAGTAGTTTTTAATTATTTTACATAACAAGAAGTTTGAAGATAAGCTTCCAGATTTTTGCAGCAGCTTAAAAATTGTTGTTAAGAATACAGACTCCTTTTGTCTCTCCCATCTTCAGGATATGAGTTTTGCATCTTCAGGCTTGTCCCTCAGCATTACAAAATAGCTGCCACAGGTTTAATATTACATCTTTGCATGGGTACATTTATTTTAGGAAGGGAAAAGAAATGTGATGAAAAAAGGGATTTCTTTTTTACAACAGAGAAAGATGTTTCCCAGAAGATCCCCCTTCCCTGACCCAGTAGACTCCCTCTACATCTCATGACTAGATCAGGGCCACAGCCACCTGCAGGTGTAAAGGAGTGGGGAAAAGACTCCTTTCATATGGCAAAGAGGAAAGCTCATCATAATTGGCCTAAAGCAATCCTGAATCATTGCTGGAAACTTGTCATATTGCCACTCTGAATAAAGTCAGGGTTTCGTTAGCAAGAACGAAGGACTGAGATAACTATGGGTAGACAAAAGATGTTACCAAATCTGAATAATGCAGCTCCAAGGCTTTAAATTCCAGTGGCAATGCAATCACCTTTATTTGGTATCAAGTAAACTATATGTTCTAAAGATCTGAATCTTTCATTAAATGACAATTTTGTGGGAATTTAATGTTTGTGACCTGACAATACAATTTGAAATAAAAGCAAAGGACATTGATTTGGTGCTTTGGGCCCAAAATAACAAGACTAAAGGAGAATGTAGTAGTATATCTATCAGGTATCTCTATATAGTCAGAGCTATGAACAAGCTATTCCAAATTAACTGAAATGAATTACTCATATACATTTCAGCTCTAGTTATTTATTCTTATAAGACAATGTGATAATAAATTTTAGTAGAATATATCTGAGGAATAAGATAGGCAGTTATTTCAGAAGTCTGGAGATTAACACAGGACAGAAGGAACAGTTTCATAAAAACAAATGGCTTGTAAAACCTATGTTAATGAGTAGCTGATCCCACAGGTTAAATACTATAGGAAAATGCAGCCCAAAAAAGCAGAGGCTATGATTTGTCCCTTTAAGGAGACTAGGCACCTTGAAAAACCATGTTTGTTTTTTATTACATTAGTGAGCAGTCAAGAAAATTCAAGCACTTTAACAAAATGCATAATCATTATTGGAAAAACCTCTAAGAATTTCTTACTTTCCCTTTGCCTTGCTTCCCTGAATTAATGTTTTGCTTTTCTTGCTATAGCATATCCAGTTTTTAAACCATCTCCAGTCCTGTCTGATGTGGCTGGTAGTGTATAAACAAACAACTAACCAATCAAACTGAAACCCCATGTATGGTCAGTGACATTGTGAATATAAAGTAAAGTATTTCCCCTCCCCTTTTATAGGCCATTTAAACAATTGTGAAAGTTGTTCTTTGTGTGCATGAAGCATACCTAAAAAAGTACTGAAAACTGGAAGAATATGTTCTCATTCCCAGAATGGCCATGTGAGCTGCTGCATGGCTCTGCTCCTCCACTAAACACACATAACTGGTGAAAATATAAAAGGCAACAACAACCATCAGAAGTTTCTGGAAATTGCTCTAAGGGCACACAGCAAATGCAGAAAATTTGCTCCAGACTGTCTACTAAAAGTCTGCCAGAACAGTAAGAGTCTGGCATTTGAACCTCAACCCACTTCCTCCTTTCTCTCTCCTAGCTCAGCATAACAGAGACTCCATCCCAAGTGAGTGCAGCCAAGAACGCAAGATCCTGCTCCCCTCAGTTCTCAATCGAGGGCTGCGGCATCTTCCCAGGAAGGGCAGGCTGCCAGCATTTCTCATTCTCCCCAGCTAAGAATTGCAAAGTGTAAATTCCAGTCAAGTGCAGCTGGGTCAAGGAATCCCTTCTTCCATCCATCCTTCAATCAGCCATAGCACACTGAGAGTACTGGGGTCCCATTTGCTCTCATTCAGCTTGTTCATAGGGCAGACTCTGCTCCAATATGCAGCAGTCTCCATATTAGGAGAGATAAGCTGGGAAAACCAGAGGCTGCCATCTCACCTGGTGCCCTGCTCCTAAAAGCAGGGAGTCACCACTATTCCTATCCCCAGCTACGGAGCCATGGCTCAAAGATTTATCCCAGGGGGAGAGGCAAGCCTTCTAAAGTTTGCCTTTGAAACACAGTGTGGGGAAGTTCGAGCCTAAAGACACTATCATAAGCAATGGAAGATTCAGGGTTAAGCAATTAAGAGGAGACTTCACAAGAGACCCAAGCTAAATAATAGACCAGTTCGTTTATGAGAGAGAACCAATTATAAGACATAGCTATGACGAGCCCTTCTGAGGTCAGAACAAACTTCAAACACTGACTTCACACCTACCCCTGCAAAAGAGCTCAAATTTAATTGAATCAGACTGTGGAACAGTTTCTATCAGGGCATTCTTGTAAACAATTGAGCAATCAGCAAGCAGTTAGTGGAGCCTATCAGCTGGCTGTGACAAGGGAAAGAAATAGTCAAAGAAAGCCCTGCTCAAACAAATCTCATCCCACCTGGCTGAACACGTTTCTAATTTTGCACTCTTTGAGAAGCAACATCAGAGGTCTCACACTACTGGGGAAATAGACATCCCTAGAATGGTCTAGCCAAGTAGCAAAATAAATAAACAAGCAAACAAAAACAACAAGGCTCAGAGAGGGTATTGGTATCCAGCGCTACCATAAAATTTTATGTTCGGTTATCAACAAAAAGTTGTGAGGCAAAGAAACAGAAAAAGCATAATCTACACAGGATCAAAAGCAGGTAACCAAATGTGCCTGTGAAAGAGACCAGATGTGGGGTTAACAGAGCTATATAGGAGTAATGTTTCTATATCTCACCGGAATTAAGTTAGTATAGGTCTGAAGTAAATTCTGATAAATTAAGACATATATGGTAAACCCTTAGAGTAACTACTAGAAAATAAGTAAAAAGCATAGTGAAAGAAATTTATGTATACAAAAGAAATCAATAATGGAGGAGCAGAGGAACAAAAAGAACATGAGACAGAAAACAAAAAGCAAACTATCAGATGTAAACACAACTCTATCAATATAACACTAAATGTTAGATTTGATTGGATAACAATCAAATCAAGAGGCTGAAATCATCAGACTGGATAAAGATACAAAATCCAACTACATGCTGTCAACAAGAGACACATTTGAGATCAAAAGATATAAATAGGTTGGAAGTAAACGAATGGAAAAAGATATACCATGCAAACAGCAACCTTGTAGTGACTTTATAATATCAAACAAAACAGACTTCAAAACAAACCAAAAAGTTACTAGAAATAGAGAGGAATCTTTTATAATGATAAAAGGGTCAATTCATCTAGAGAAAATAACAATTTAAAACATATATGTACTTAACAATTGGAACTCCAAAATCCCATGCAGTGAAAACAAACAGAATTGAGGGGATATATTAGTCTGTTCTCACACTGCTGATAAAGACATACCTGAGACAGGGTAATTTATAAAGAAAAAAAATTTGATGGACTCATGTTTCTATGCTGCTGGGCAGGCTTCAAAATCATGATGGAAGGCAAGGGAGGAGCAAAGGCACATCTTACATCGGGGCAGGCAAGAGTCGCAATGAGAGCCAAGTGAAAGAGGAAATCCATTATAAAACCATCAGATCTCATGAGACTTATTTACTACCACTCAAAGAGTATGGGGGAAACCACCCCCATGATTCAATTATTTCCCACTGGGTCCCTCCCAAAACACATGGGAATTATGGGAGCTACAATTCAAGATGAGATTTGGGTGGGAACAAAGCCAAACCATATCAGGGAGAAATAGAAAATTCAACAATAATAGTTTGAAGCTTTCATACTAACTTTCTGTAATGAATGAAACAAGTAGGCAGAAGACAAACAAGGAAATAGACGTGATCAACATATAAACCAACTCCAGGTAGACCTAGCAGACATCTATGGAAAACTCCACCCAGTAACAATAGAATAGGCTTTTTTTTTCAAGTGCACATGGAACCTTCTTAAGGATTGACCATATAAGATACCATAAACAGCCTTCATTAAATTAAAAATGATTAATGCAAATTCTTTTTTATGACCATAATGAAAAAAATTAAGAATCAATAACAACAGAAAGATGTTTGGGGGATTCACAAAGGTGTAACAATAAAACAACATATCTTAAATAACCTATGAGTCAAAGAAGAAAACTATGAGTCAAAGGGAAATTAGAAAGTACTTTAAAATGAATGAAAATGAAGACACAACACACCAAAATTTGTGGGATGAAATCAAAGCAGTGCTTAGAGGAAAATATATAGCTGTACATTCCCATAATAATAAAGAAGAAATATCTCAAACTAAAAACCTAACCTCCCACCTTAAGATGCTGGAAAAAGAGCACCAAACTAAAACAGCAAGCAGAAGCAAAGAATCATAAAGATTAGAGTGAAAATTAGTAAACTAAAGAATAGAAAAACAATGGAGAAAATCAGTCAAACCAAAAGTTGGTTCTTTGAACAGATTTTTTTAAAATGACAAACCTCTAGCTAGGGAAGTATATGTATTTCAAGAAAATGTAATCAACTTTCAATGTACAATCTATGGGTTTTTTTAATGCATTCAGAGTTTTCTGGATAAGATATAGTATAGACTGTGAAGCTGAAGTTCATAACATAAATCATAACTGCCTGATATAGTAGCATTATAACTAGTTTAAACAATCACTGCGTATGCATCTGGGCTCTTAATGGGATTCTTGGAAGTTAGCAAGAATGAGATAGAGGACAATTCAGAACCCAGTGGACTGCTGAGCCAGAACAACTTGGAGGTATTTGCCATCCCTGAGATCCTCTGATTTTATAAATATCAGCAAAAGGTTCAATTACCCCAAATCTTAATGTCTCTTGTTTCATAAATCTGTTTTATTAAGATGTCAGGAAATACAGCAACAAATAATAATAAAACTTGTTTTTAAATCTCAGGGATACCCAATCCCTGGGTATTGTTTAACGTGGCCAATGTTGGTGGATTTATCACATAAGTGAATATTTGGGTATACAATGTGGCCACCAGGCACATCTTTAGGAAATACAGATAACAGATAATCAGCTTGGAGAAAGGCTAGAAGTTAGAAGATCACTAGTGGTCTTTTCTGAGCATTTCAGGGACTATTTGGCCAGTTGCTTCACCACAGCTAACTGCATCACTCTTACTTGATTGTCCTGTTTGGGAGGAAAATATGATTCATACCTGTCAACTTCTGCAACAGAGATAAGGACTTTTTCTTCTATGTGTCCCTAGCAGCTTGCACTGGTCTGGCACCCACAATAAGGGTTTCCAGGCCTAACAGCAATAACTGTAATTCTAGAGTGCCTATGATGTGCCAGCCAGCGGTCATGTATCTTTGACCCTTCCAGAGCTAGCACGGAGCTATGTGCCTCATCATACATCTTCATCCTCTTATCGTCATCACAAAAACCTGAATGCTTGCTTGATTGTGGGAACAAGCCCTCCTTGAACTCTAGCAAGGTAGTTAAAAGATAGCCCGGGATGATTCCTACCTGTGTAACCTTGGGCAAGTTATTTAATCTCTCTCTGCCTCAGTTTCTTTTTCTGTAAAATGGGGTCAATGATAAAACCTATCTCCCAGTTTATTAAAAGATTTAGTGAGTTGATGCTTGCCAAGCATTTAGAACAACGCCTGGCAGATAAGAAACGCTATGTGTCTCTTAAATAAATAAAATTAGTCATTGAGTTAAATCTCCCTTTTACTATGTGAAAAAAGATGAGCTTGCTCCAAACTTCACAGTCTTTTCTGCCAATGGGCATGTGCTTCTACCAGAGGGAAAAAGGATAATGGACCTTGAATTTCCTGATATCCCCATGGAGGCCAAAGCCTTCTGCTCATGAGCCTGTGTTCACCCCTATTTGGGATGTTTTCTCCCAAGCACTGGCTTGGGAGCAGCCCCAAAGTTTCCTTCTCCCGGCAAGCCATGCGTTTTGCGGACTCAGATATTTGATGAGTATTTTGCCAAAGCAGAAACATCCCAGTGAAAACTAATGACGAAGACAGTTCTGCCATACTCCGTTGCCTCCTCTAACTGGAGAAGACAACAAACAGCACACACAGCGTCTCTCTCAGACCCACCTATGTGGGTCTGAGCTTTCACACAGCTTTCATAGAACTCCCTACAGTGTCCACAGGCCCCAAGACACCACTGCCCAGGGCGCCCCTGACCCACAACCTCCTAACACAGTGGCACGCCATTTTCGTTTCTGCTGGTCAATGTGACTGCTTTAGTTCCTCCAGTGGGATCCAACTGACCTTCGATATTCTTTATACTCTGGGGTACATTTGCTGTAAGGGTGTGAACAGAAGCTCAGTAAAGCCCAGATAATACTCAAAGCATGCTCTGCTAAATTCCATGCTCCAAGGAGTGCCAGATGTAGCAAGAAAAAAAAAAAAGAATGCCAGGTTAAATTTGAACTTCGGATGAACACAAATAACTTTTTAGTATATGTTCCATACAGTATTTGGGAGATATCCATACTAAATTTTTTTTTTGCTGTTTATCTGAAATTCACATTTAACTGGGCAGCTTGTATTTTATCTGGCAACCCCACATGCTGGAGAAGCCTTACAAGGTTAGTTAGTATTTGGTGGTGGGGTAGGGGGGGAATGTCCCTCTCTACAAATGATTTTTTACCAGCAGGCCAATGGTAGGATTGTGAATGAGACAGCCCAGAAGCAACTGCAGAGGGTCATGCAGAACCTCTGTATGGACAGCTTTGCTCTGTGCCATCCTGGGGCAGAACCAAAATCTCACCTACATAACGGAGGTGATCTTTACTTCTGTTTATTTACTTGTCCTGAAGAACTCTAGGATTTCAAACGTACTTGAATTCATCATGAATCCTCCACAATGGCCACTTTCAGGAGGGAATTCAGTGTATGGAGTTTTCTTTGACTCCAAAGAATTGAGCTTAAATAAAGTGACATTCACAAAAACATGCTTATGTATTCATGCATACGCCTTTGTATATTCTCTCTTATACCCACTCTGGCTAAGGCCAGTGTTTCCTCATGATATGGTTTGGCTCTGGGTCCTCACCCAAATCTCACGTAGAATCATAATCCTCAATGTTGGATGAGGGGCCTGGTGGGAGGTGATTGGATTATGGTGGTGGACTTCCCCCTTATTGTTCTTGTGACAGTGAGTGAGTTTTCACAAGATCTGCTTGTTTGAAAGTGTGTAACACTTCCCTCTTCGCTCTCTCTCTCTTGCTGGCCATGTGAAAATGTAACTACTTCCCCTTTGATTTCTGCAATGATTGTAAGTTTCCTGAGGCCTCCCCAGAAGCAGAAGCTTGTGCGTCCTGCAGAACTGTGAGCTAATTAAACCTCTTTTCTTTATAAGTTATCCAGTCACAGGTTTGTCTTTATAGCAGTGTGATAACAGACTAATACACCTCAGTAATATTAATAGTAGGCTAGTATTTAAGGCTGTTGTAATATCTCTGTTAAAATAAGGACAGCATTCTGAATAATTGAGTTTGATCACATGATATGTGATGTTTAGATGCCTAATGCTGGCTGCAGTTAGTACTCAAAGTTTACCTGTACTATACACATGGTAAAAGACAGGTGGCTTTGTGCAGGGTGGAAGGAAGATAGGAAAGAGGAAAGAAGAAAAAGCAAGGAAAAATATACAGAAGCGGAAAGAGAAAAAGTAAAATAGAGAAGAGTATGCCCAGTGTCTAATTTCTCACCAGGTTAGATACATTTTCCTTTAACCATTAAGCTTTTAGTCTTTTTAGACTGAAGGTTCAAAAATCTTTGAAGAAATAAAATCAATTTAATCAAATAATCAGTTGTTTGGGAGCATAAATAAATAAGAAATTAAAAGCACAATTGAATGCAAACAGCCGTCCCAGAGTGTGATATAGCAATTCTCTCTCTATGGTTGATACATTTATCTATAAATTAATTAGATTTTGTCTCCAAAAGTGTTTAAGAATATTATATATTTATGTATGCATCCTTGAAAATGATTATGGAAACAATGATCCATCCTGAAGCAAGAATTTTTTTGTTTTGTTTTTTCTTACTCCTCGCCATCCTCTTTGCTGTTTATCTGAAATTCATGTTTAACTGGGCAGCCTGTACTCCTGTAAAATAGTGACCCAAACAACAAAAATACCTGCCCTTGTTGGGCTTATCCTCAATCTTCCCTGTGTTGCTCGCATTCTGATACAATCAGCTGTATTTGACTACCAAGCATCAGAAAAAAATTCTTTTTTTTTTTTTTCTGATGCTGGTTTATGCAGAGCTCGCTTCATGGCCTGGTGACCAGTGCATTCATGCAGAACCTCCTGATCAGAAGGGTCTTGCTGTTACCAGCCTGTGAGTCTTAATAATTTTGTACATGCAATCCCTCCTTTTCATTTTCTCCTGAACTCTGCAAAGTATGTAGCCAGTCCCAGGTTTATGCATTATAATATAACAAAAATATCAAAAATAATAATTGCAGTTCCATAGAGAACTTAGAACTTACCTCCTAAGTGGTTTAAATCTTTTGATATCTGGGACCCCCAAACCCCTAGAAAGTCAGAAGATAATTTTTTCTTTAATGGGAACAATGAAGTCTCAAGGTATTAGGTCCGTGTCCAGCTAAAAGTCTGCTGGGGCTAAAATCCACCTTTCCTAAACCTCACATCACATTTCTCAAACTTAATTGCTTCATCCTTGCACTTTCCCAGGTCTTTCTGTTTTCTCTCCTTTGTCACAGCTGAGGCTGTCACTAAAACTGTGGCCCTCTCAGCTCTGTCTTTATCATTCTTTTCAACTCAGTCTGGATCTTTATCACTTTGAAGGCATAGGTGGCACTTCACAGACAAGCACATTTCAGTCATCAAGTTTTGTATGTTTCCCATGATTGTGACATATTTCTACCTCATATCCTAGTTAATAGAACACAGGAAGAAAACAGGCTGCACAGGTTATTTGCATGAAGGGATGAAGTGGCAGGAGAAATGAAGTCTTCCTAACTCTGGCCTCCTGCTGCTACACAAGCCAGGCCAATGATGTGGCAAGTCCAAGGGGCACATGGCTTTTCAGTGTCATTGTTTGAGGAGGCCATGAGTGGTTTAGCTGGTGGCCTCTGCTTCTTTTTCTTTTGAGTGCTTCTGAATACATGACTGTGCTCTGAATACAGAGCTACCACTGCGGGGTAAACCAAGCCACAGCTGTCCTCTTCCAAGGTTAGGGTCGCTGCTCAGCAGGAGCTGATGTGCTACAAGGAATGATGATCTTCTACTGGTAAGATAATTTCCAAATCTTTAAAGGTGAATTTAGAGTGAGGGGTCCCCTTACCTGTGGTGTTTAATCCATCCTATCTTAATATCTAAAACTTTATAATGCCTTCTTGTCTGTTTGTGGTGTTGTTGTTGTTGTGTGTGTGTGTGCGTGTGTGTGTGTGTGTGTGTGTGTGTGTGTTTAAAGGTCTTGGCACAGATGCCGTGCTCAAAACATGTTAACTGGATTCAAATCTATATTTTGATTAATCAGAAATACATACCTGCATAAACACTGCTCTTGGAAAAGTTTAGAAAAGAGTTTAGCCATCTGTTTTCTGGTTTTCCAGTTTGACTTTCTTGTTTGTAGTTCCGCTGAATGGTATCATTCTCATCCCTTGGCAATGGTTTTGTAGAGTTATAGTTTCTGGTAGGGGAAGGGCTTCGGTTCTAAAGTTAGTGATCAGATTAAACGCAGGTGAGATGCAACACCAGCATATCATAATTATCTTATTTTCTGCTTTGCAGTCCCTAATATCCAGTTAGGTAAATCACAAGGATTCTTATAATAACACCTATGTTCTCCCCCAAATAAAATGGAGTTATCTTCCTTTTTTAAAATAACAAAATCCACAACTTTATCATAGAGAAACAAGCCTACTGAGCAAGATCACTATAATCATTTAAATATAAAAATACTACAAAGGCAAATACTTCACCCTCCAGCCCTAAATTTACCTTTTATTTTTTCTGAAGCTCTAAACTTTCCCTCTTCATTTTCACACATTGAAAGCAGTCCCGAAATTTTCAGGAACAATGGCAAGTTTTCAAACGTTTCCTAGAAAGTGCGTAACCCTATCTTTCTCTTTGATCTACTGTACTTACATCGGCAGATCAGTGTGACACTTGCAAAGCCAGGTATTTTTATCCCAGTTCATTCAAAGGTGGACCAGAAATAACACAGCTCCTGGGCTTGAGGGGTGGTGGGGGTGGTGGGGGAAAATGTGGCAGGAGAAGCTACGAGAATCATAGGGCAAGCAAGGCGGTCCTTGAGGAAGAAAGCTTTCTAAATAACACACTGCTCCATTCTTTCTATCCCTCTTCAAAGCTGTTTCGTTCCTAACCCATTTTTCATTAAGTTTAACTCCTTTGGAAAAGTCTCGTCACTTTCCTAGGGAAAGTCTCCAGGGGAGCGAGCTTTCAAGATCTGCTGCGGAGTGTGTCCTGCCAGTGCGTGGAAGGCCGTTTGTTTACAAAACTTGGTGAATACCCAGATGGCGCTTCCCTGTGCCCTGCAGCTGCTCAACAAGCAAGGAGACTTGCAGGCACCCACAGAACTCATTCTGTGAAGCCCTTTCTTCTCAGAAGAGTCTTCACTGCTATTGTGACGTCCTGCTTGCCCCTCCTGTTTTATTCCAGAGGCACAACGTTAACACAAAATGTTGGAGATCATGACAGCGTTGGGCTCCAAAAACAGGATTGTTTGTTGTTTTGAAGCCAGTCCCCAAAATGACTTGAACTTCTAAAGAAGAAGCTGGCATCCTTTCTATCATTTACACAATCTGAGGTTCAGTGTGTGAGGATAGGAATGGGGATGGGGTGGGTCCACTTCTATCCATTAGGGAACTCCAGTAATATTGTGGATTCAAGAATATGCCAATTTTTCCAGGTGGTAGCTTATTTAACTATTGTTAGGGATAACTCAAAGAGCTTTGTATTGCACCTTTACAAAGTTATGGAAGGGCTACTAAATAACATGTATGGGATTAGTAAATTGCAGAAATGTTTGCACAGGCATCAAGATGCCAAGTAGTAGCATCTCCATGGTGACCTCTCTCCAGTAATGCTTGGTACACAAGCATAGCTGCAATGCAAATTCCCTAGACCCCTCTTCTAACTAGATGGCCAGCCACTCATCGCCAGTGTTTCTTACGGTGAGTGAAAAGAGAGTCTCAAGAAGTCTGTGTATTAATTGTTACTGCATAGCGAATGACCCAAAATGCAGAAGCTTAAACAACAGTCATCTTTTATTATTTCTCACGGTGTCTGAGAGTCAGGAATCCAGGTAGGGAACAGCAGGAGTGGCATGTCTCTGCCCCATGACTTCTGGGGTCTTCGAGGGAAGACTCAAAGGCAGCGTGTTGAAATCCTTGGGGGGGGTCATCACTCTCATATCTGCTAGTTGATGCTGGCTGCTGGTTGGGCCTGAGGCCTTGAGTCAGAACACTGACATGTGAGTTCTTGATGTGGCCTGGGCTTCCTCACAACATGGTGACCCTCCAGAGAAAGAGAGAGAGCCTGGAAGAGCTGTGTGCCTTTCCCTGCCCAGCTTTGGTAGGCTTGCAGCATTGAGTCCACTGAGCTCCACTGGCTAAGTCAGTTATAAAGGACTTCTCTGGCTCAAGGGGAGGGAATGTAGATACCACCTTTCTTTGGAGATGAGTCCAATAATATTAAGAGTATGTGGGATGGAAAATGCATTGGTTCAGCCACCTTTGGAAGATAGAATCCGCCATCGGTACCTTCCCCAAATACACAGGCTTCCTTGTGGAACTGGGGGATATATTATAAACTCTAAATAGCAAAGGCACTTCCTGAATAAATACTAATTGGCTGTCTGTGAGACATGCAGTGACTCCAGGTCTCCTGTGGGGTGGGACAGCTCAGGAAGTCCAAGGATTCAGTGAAAGCCCTAGAAGAGCTTGCCAACTGGAAGAGAGGGAAGCTGATGGCTGGACTCCTCTCCCAGTTATGCTTTTGGGTAAACATCTGGAAAGCACAAGGCTTAGCAAGTCAAGAGCCAGCTACAGCAACACCATAAAAACACCCTGCAGCTGAGTGCACTGGGTGTTTTTGTAAGCGGCATCCCACCTGGTCCACCAGACAGTGAGCTAACTGAGGTGTGGATTTTCATAGAGATTCAATGGTAAACAAGAAAGATGCATCTCCCACATCCAAGGAATATGTGTTTGGTTGGAAGAGTTGGACAATAAACGAAACAGAATAAACAAAGTGACAAACAAACACGCTAGGTAGTGATGCGCATTGTGGCAATCCCAGAACAGGTGATGGTGGTGACACACAGTGCCCACACCCAGCACAGCAGGGTACACTGTCATCAGTAATCGCCTCTCCAGGAAACCAGCGGCACTCATCAGACTCAGTTACTCATGGTCTGTGAGTGAAAGAATTAAAGTCCCTGGAGAGACCCATCAGGAGCACCAATGACCAGCAGATTGCACAGGTCACCTCAGCAGCAAAGCCAAGGCTACATCTTGGCATTCCTGGCTGCAGCCCATTGCTCTCCCCATCCTGCACATGACTCCAGACAGTGGCAGCCTATTCAGCATCTCAGGGCTGTCAGGAGTGGCATCTAGGGAGGACCAGGTGCTCTCTCCATCTGTGGCTTGGAATGTGTGCTCAGAGTCCCCTGAGAACAGACAAACCCGTGAAGAACCAACTGAGAAATATAATCTTCCTGTCCATTCAGATCAGGAAATAAATTAAAACATCTTTCTTTACATAGTAGATTTGAACATGAAAAGCTGATTGTAAATACAATCTTTGTGGATTAAACTGTATTTTAAAAGCTCTCTAAAGTCAGGATTGGCACAATGTTGATAGCCATTGGACAAAGGGTGCGTGAGGGCTCATTAGACTATTCTCTTTTGCTTGGTGTGTGCTTGAAATTTTCTCAAATAAAAAGTAAGTAAAGAGGTAGATAAAATAGCTTTCCTCTGGCAGTACATTTGTCCCTCTTTCCCTCTCTTTCTCTCTTAAAATGAGAATGATTACTTCCAACAAATAGTTTTTGTAAAACTAAGTCTTGCAAAAAATGACTTATAGTTGTTTCTGTACATTGGGTTTTTCTGAAGCCAAGCACAGCATACTGAAGTGATTTGCAGTATTAGCCTCGCCTTTAATTCCTGTGATAGTTAAGTAATCATGAGTAGGCATGTTTCTACCTACTGCAAATAAATTTGTGGGGCATCAATAGGAGATGTGGGATTGATGTCATGATGAGAGAGACAAGGGATGAACCTGGAGGTTGTGAGGCTGAGGTTCGCCCCCTTCTCTCTTCCAGCTGGTCTGGGACCCCTGGTCACATCTCATTACCTCTCAGGGTCTCGGTTTTCTCCTAAACCAGCTCTGGCTCATTTCAAGAATCCTTTCCTTCCAGCACTGTAGAGAGTTCTGGGGGTCAAAACATGTTGTAATTCTGAAATCACCAGGGTCGCGTGAGACGAGGACAGGGATGAGAGATTAAAACTCCCCGTCTCCAGGAATAAGAAAGCAATACAGTCCCTCAAGGCCATTAACGATTTTCATGATCCGTAGATTTCTTACCACTTAATTCTGTGCTCTCCCTTCTTTAGGCTAATATTTTAAACATTATGAAAAGGAAACCAATGAAAAGATGAGTAATAGCTTCTGGCTGTTGAGCACAGTTTCACAATATTTTTGAATTTCTCAGATAACACTGCATATTAATGTCATTTTCTTCACTGGGAAGAAAGTCAGCAGACCTTCAGCCAAACCATGACTACTTGGTAACCTGCTGAAAATTCTATGTTTGAACTCCTGCCCCAGCTCCACCTTTCACCTTGACTGGTAGGGCGGTCTCTCAGTGGTCTCTCTTCTCATCCTCTGCCAACAATGTCAACTATGGTATCTCTGGAAGACAGGAGGAAAAAGACCAAATGCTCACAGTTTGATGTGCTTATCATTCTTTCAGATAATGGGATTGTGAGTTCTTATTTATCTTAAATTTTCTGCATTTTAACTTTCTTCTTAGTGCTTTCTACATGCTCCATGTTTTCTTCAATGAGCATGCATTACTTTATACTCAAGAAAAGAGCAATGCACACTGTTTTTTAAAGCCGCTATTGCTACTCCTCAGACTAAATCCTTCATTGGCCCTCCACTGACATAGCATAAAATCCAACGCATTGGTTTGGCTCCTCCACCCTCAATGCCTGGCTGGCTACCCTCCTAATCTCACCTTCGTCACCTCTTCCCTGACCTCTGTCCCTTCCCCTTCCCATCCTCCTTCCCACCTGTGCTCACCCACACCTGCCATACCTCAGACACCAAGGAGCCCTCCGTCTGAATCTACCCCACCCACAGAGGTTTCCCTGACCACTCCCACACTTTCTTTAGGAGCCATTTCAAGCCTGGCCTCTGCTGGTCCCCAGGGAGCCTCCCCTGCTTCTCCAGGGTTCTGGGGCACCTCGCCTCCCTGACCATACTCCTAGAACAGGCCACAAACAGCAGCATGTGGTGTGTTCTCACAGCTGTTCTTCATTAGACCGGAAGTGCCCTGAGGACAGGCTCAGTGCCATTACTTCCGTTAATTTTCTTTTTTCTTTTTTTTTTTTTTTGGTTCTGGTTTTTTCTCTTTGACCCCAGCAAAATTATTCATTGAATGTTTCCTTGAGTTTTAAGAGGCCTACACAGCAATTACACATCACTAGAGTCTTTTTTATTTCCCAAGAAAAGCCACTTAGAAATAAAAGTATGAAGAGTGTTACATGCCGAGGACTTTCCAAAACACACAGACTTTCTAATGGTGTTGCCTAAAGCGTGTTGCTCCTGCTTTGCCTGTGCTAGGCTCCTGCTCTGCCTGGAATGCCTTCCTTTCCTTGTCTACTGGCAAACTCCTGGTCACCCTTCCAAACTCGGTTTTGACACCCATGCTGCCCTCCCCTGCAGCTCCTTGAGCTAGGATCTAGAGACGTCCCTCTGGAAGGTGCCTCAGGGTACCCTTTCCTCTCCAGGTGCCGTCGTTTGCATATCTATTTCCCCCATAATTCCCTAGAGACGCTGACCAGCCCCTAGAGGTTCTAGTTTAGTGCTTGTGGAAGGAAGGAATTTCATGTTAGCAGTCCACATGCCAGGGAGTGCTTGGTGGATATGCAGACAGGAAGTTTAATAACAGGGAGATGCAGGGACCTCAGGAGAGCTTTGCATTTGTTCTCTGCACAGGGCACCCGGCTGGGGATGAGTGGGATCTACCACCCCGGGTCTGTCCTCTAGGATCCCCCAGGGCAGGGCTGCCTGCCTAAGGCATGACCCTGATCCACGCCGGTGTCATGGGGGCTAACAGAGTCAGCCAGCATCCATGCAGTGCCCGCCGGCCATCCTTCCCACAGTAAGCCCCAGATTCTCTATTATTTTTGAATTCTTCTTCCCATCATTCGTCCAGGGTCTTGCCAGTTCTGAGACCAAAGAGTTGCAAAGAATCACCCTTTAGGAATGTAAAATGATTCTTGTTCCAACAAGGCTCCACTTAATCATACACTCTACAAATTCAGGGAGCTCATTTGGGTAAAATACAGTTTTTCCTTTTCATACGTTTGCTGCTTTCTCCAAACAAACTCGAGGAAAGACTGCAACATCAGCACTTTGACAATTTGGAACTGAAATAGAGAGTCTAGAGTCTGGGATTTCATGTCTCCTCTGATTGAAAAAATAAAAATTCTTTGAAGTGCATAAACTTGTGCTTGGCAGTGTTTTCATCTGACATTGTTTAATTTTTCACAGACCAAGCTAAAGCAAGAAAAATTATTCTCCCACCCTTCACCAGCAAGATTCTCTGCCTTCTCAGCCTTTCACACAGCCAGGGCTGGGGACCTCCTGAAAAGTGGTGTTGGCCCTTCCATCAGGCAGACCTCAGACCAGAATCCCTGCCTCCTCTTCATCTTTCTACCCGTCCTGCCCCCACCCAAGTGACACACGCCACAGAAGGCAACCTGGAAATTGCCTTGTGCACTGTGGGGCGATGGGAAGTGGGGGCAGGCTTGGGTCAGGTGCTGTCACCTCTGCACCCATCACACACATCTTCCTCCCTAATGCCGGGGTCTCAGCATGGGTGGGAGATGTCAGCATCTCGGGGAGGAGGACTGCTGTGACCCACAGGGAGACACATGCACCTGCCCCCACCGTGGCTTCTGCCCTCCTCCCCAGCAGGGATGGTGATGGCCGGTTGAAGTGTTGACTGAGCTTGGAGCCAGGTGCACGGTGGCTGCTAGGCGCCTTCACTCCATCCTGGAACAGCAGGAGAAAGTGCCTCATGAAGTTCGGAAGAAATAAAGGGAACCTAAGCATGTTGCAGGGCTGCTTTATCTCACAAAAAGCACATCAACAGCATCTGCTCTTCAACAGGACAACAGAACCAGGCCTCCTGACTGCCCCTCCCTGCGCTCCGGGCCTGCAGAAGGCGCCTGATGTGACTTCGCATTATTTTGAAGCTGGAAAGGCAGACATTTTAAGCCCTAAAGAGGTTTTGCCTTCTGAGGTAGGTATGAGGATATCTTCCAATCTCCCTTTGGTCCCGGGGGGATGGCCAAACCTTGCATGCAGCGAAATCACCCAAATAATGAAGCTTCGGGCCGAGGCGCCGTGTCCCATGGTGTGGACTGGGCATTTCCCAGGACCGTTCCCTCCTGGAATTAGGCTGCCCATGCCAGGAAACTTCTTCTCACTCCCAGGAGCTCAGGAGCTGAGGAGACCCGCAGGGACATCTGGCTGGTGTCCTCCCCACGACTCTGGAGGAAAGAATAGAATACCAAAAGGCGCTGAACATCACCACACCCCCTGGGGCCATGACATCCTCGGTGAACCGTAGGACTGGGGGACTGAGGACGGGTGATTCCAGAGCGTCTTGCATCGTCGCGTTTGGAGGACGGTGATCCTCAGTGACCACCAATCACGCACGCCGGGTGGGCGTGGGAGGGATGTTCCCAGCCTTAGCCATTGAGGAAAAGCTCAGCCCCGGGGCAGGGCAGGGAGGTCAGGAAGGGAAGACCTGAGCGGGAGGGGAAGGGGCAGGGAGAGCGGCTGGACTGTGAGCAGCTCCACGAGGGTGTGGGCTAGGATGCAGGTAGGAGCTCCTGGGAGAGCAACCCTGGGGCCAGGCTGGGGCTGCGTGTGGACCCCAGGAGAAGGCCCTTCGGGAGCAGCCGCAGCTATGCTGCGAGGTGTGCTTTCCTAAACTCAGAGGCTCTTGGTGAAGTGTGTTTCGGGCAGAGCCCAATCTGTCACGGGCTCTGGGAGCTCCAGGCACAAGTGTGGGGACGTCCCTAGGGTCACTGCAGCCAAGGTGGCATCAAGGCAGCAATGAGGGTAAGGCAGGGAAGCAGGAGATGTAGGGGTTTATCCTGGCAGCCCAGCACAGTAGGCAGCTTGTGAAATGGCTTGGATGAACCCACCTTGGCATTCACGGCTGTGCTATGCCCTCCCCTTGAGTGTGAACCTGTGACTTGCTCCTAACCAACAGGATGTGGCAAAGGTGGTGGCATGTCACTTCCATGATGAGGATATACAAGACTGTGACTGCTGTCTTGCCAGCAATCTCTCCTGCCTTCTCCACTTGGTCTCAAGAAGCCATGGTGGAGAGTCCCATGTGGCAAGGACCTGAATCCTGCCCACAGCCACTTGAGCTGTGTGGACCCTCACTCAGTCGAGCCTTTCCCAGACACCTTGGCCCTGGCTGATAACCAGATTGCAGCCTGTGACAGACCCTGAAGACAAGGCTCCCAAGTAAGGTGTGCGTGGATTCCTGACTCACAGCAACTATGAAATAGTAAATGTGTGTTTTAAATCACTATCTTGTGATTACAGAAGCAGATAACTAATACAAGTATAATAGTATCTTGTAGCATGTTTTAAGACATGTTAAAAAAATTGTCTAGGGAGATGTAATCAGAGGGTGCTATATGCTATTACTGGCCATTGTAACGCTAGGGGACTTCATTGTATAACCATGACATTAAAAGGAAGTGCAGTTTATTCTGTAGTCACATGTTGATGAGGCTACAAAAGGCTGTTTATTTGAGAAGTTGCTTGTGAATTCTTTATTTCTCAAGACTGTCTCTCTCACTCTTTGCTCAGAACCACCTCACTCTTCCTGAGTCTCTCTCCCATTGCCTCCTACCTGAGCACGGCTTTCCTGCCCTCCTCGTTTGATCAGGAACGCAGTTAGACCGTGTGCCTGTCTTTTTGTTTAGCTTATGCAGGGCATGTTGACTCCCACTGGCTGCTTCATTGCATCCAGTGATCAAGTACTGCTCCCGGTCCCCTACCTCCACCCATGTCCAGGTCTGGGTTTGGAGATATCATATCCCAAGTGGAACCAGGATCTTGGAGCCCTCATGTGTCCAGAGGAGGAATTAGACATGGTGTATGCATCTGTTCAAGGTATGCGTCTACTCAAGACTTAGAGTAATTAATGCATAATCAATTCAAAGTGAGTGAGTAACTGGATGATTTAAGGGAACACCATACAACTTTAATGACTGAAGTCTTTGGAGGACAGCCATGCCCCCATGCGGCCCGCTTATTGGGATCACTGATTCAGACAGAACTCAGGACCGAACATGGGCGTGAACACAGGCCAACCCATTCTGGCACTTTCCCTTTGGCCTGTGCTCCTGGGACCAGAGGTGGCCTTAGATACTTGCTTGTGAATGGTGGCAATTCTAGGCAAGTCTCACCACCACAGAAGCCCAGAGAGAGCCCAGGAACTTTGTCATCCAGGAAACTGCTACCTCCCACCACTCTATACTTCTCAACTTACCTCTGTCTGATTAGAGCAAGGCCTAATTTCTCAATGTGTTTTCACTTGGTTGGAATCCAGTTGAAATGAAGAATTTGGAGATTTCAGTGTTTCCAGTTGGAATCATAGAATCCTTAATTCTTCACCAGCCTTTTAACTGTATTTCTCAGATATGACATCTGATGGCCCAGCCTTTTAAAATCGCCTTCGTGATGTTGCAATTTCTGCTGACATACTGTTGAGGTCTCAGGAAAAACTGGAAAACATTTCCGCAATGGACAAAGTGCTATGTTTAGGAAATTACTCACATTTCACTATCAAAATATCATTTCTGCCTAATTTGCTTCATACAAAATTGTTTAAATTAAGTTTATTTTAAACAAATTGTTTTGAAGGGTTTAAGACACCAGCCATTTGAAAGACCTCCTCATTCTGAAATACCAAGAAAAAAAAATCACCACCTAAAAGTAAAGAAAGATGAAGGGATCCATGTGTGTGTGACCACTTTCTCAGGCCTGGCCTTCACACAGATGCTCCTAGACAAGGGTTAAATCAGGTAATGAGGCCAGCAGAATACATGATCTCTTGCTAGTTTTTGCACGTGGCATTCTTGATCTTGGGTAGCTGGTTGTTTTCTCAGACCAAGAGGGAGGCTAACAGGCTGAACCCAGGGGTCTGGTTAACAAAGGTTACTATAGGGTGCTAGTGATGCCACAGCGACAGGCTGAGTGTTGGGCCAGATAACTTCCAACTGTTCTAGCCTGCTACACTTAGTCACCAAACCCTGACCTCGCACCTTTGTTGGAAAGGTGAACCTGTGAGACTGCAGAGTCGGGCTAGAGTGTGGGTCTTTTATCTAACATAACATGCAAGTTCATTTGGAGGGAAAAAGCAAAGCTGGACTTCAAATTCCTTTGTGTGGCAATGGGTCTCCAGGGATCTGGACTTGGCCTGGGTTCTGGGAGCTGGCCTAGCATAGAGGAGGGATAAGGCTGTAGACTCTGGAGCCAAAAATCAACATCAGAATCAGTCAGAACAGGAAGACTAGGGAGAAACTGACAGGAGAAAAAAGTTTTGCAGCAATGAGGCTCCAAGAAGAACAAGGACAAGGACATATAGAGGACAGGAGAGAAGGTGGAAGCCCAGGAGACTCTGAGGCACGGGGACCTCTGCAGGACCATGAGGTCTTATCTCTGGGTGGCAATAGGGCATGAAGGCAGACTCAGCATAGGAAAACCAGGGTTTCTAAGCCGGGAATGGAGTTTAGAGAGTCACCAAGACAGAAGCGGGGCCAGAAGCTGGCATCAGAGCCATGGTCTAGAGTTAGCAAGACAAGACGAATATCAAATAAGGACCAGTAGTGGGTGACATGGGCAGGGCAGAGGGAAATCCTTATCCTTGTTCTGGAAACCTGTTTTAGTTTCTCCTTACATTAATAAATCACCCAATGCATGATTTATGAACAAACCAGATATATTATTGATAGGGCCAGGGCTGGAAAGAATACTATATGCGTAACATGGACAGTCATTGTACAACCAGTAGTGGAAGACTGTCAGTGGCTCAGGACAATTTCATTCTCATGGTGGGAAAAAGAAACACAAGCCACAAGACCCTCAGACCCTGGGTCTGTTGCTCCCCATTTGTTCATGAAGAATAGTGTCTCAGTCTGTTTTCTGCTACTATAACAGCATACTTGTGATGGTTAAAACTGAGTGTCAACTTGATTGGATTGAAGGATGCAAAGTATTGATCCTGGATGTGTCTGTGAGGGTGTCACCAAAGGAGATTAACATTTGAGTGAGTGGGCTGGCAAAGGCAGACCCACCCTTAATCTGGATGGGCACCATCTAATTAGCTGCCCATGTGGTCAGGATATAAAGCAGGCAGAAAAATGCGAAAAGACTAGACTGGCTTAGCCTCCCAGCCAGCATCTTTCTCCCGTGCTGGATGCTTCCTACCTTCAAAAATCAGACCTCAAGTTCTTCACCTTTGGAACTGGGACTGGCTTCCTTGCTCCTCAGCTTGTGGATGGCCTGTTGTGGGACCTTGTGATTGTGCGAGTTAATACCACTTAATACACTCCCCTTTATATATATATCCTATTAGTTCTATCCCTCTAGATAACCCTGACTAATACAGATTTTGGTACCAGGAGTGGTTCTAGAGGAACAGAATATTAAGGATAGAGTTCTTTTGTTGGTTTTGGGGTTTCTGGAGTTGGCTGCTTAATATGATTTGACCCAAAAATGTTAAGGATTCTACTTCTAATAATATGGAGAACACTGATAGTCCTTGACATGAACTGTTTAGAAAGTTATACAAAATAATTTCATGTGACACTCCTTATTTACTGCTCATGAGAGGCAAGAGGTTTAGTGACTTTATACATAACAGCTTTGACCATATGTGGAGAACCAGGGAACATAATGAAGCTGTTTGGTTGTTCCAAAGTTCACTGGACAAAGTGATGAAAGAAAATTATGAACTCAGGGATTCTAACTCTTGGCTTCAGAAGCAGATACGGAGCCTTAAATCTGCTAAGACTTCCCTGAGTGAGAATCTTATCTCCTGTAGAGAAAGAGCTGAAATTGTGGAAAAACAGGCACAAGCTCATACCATGCAAGTGGCTGACCTACAACAAGAGGTGGATGCACAGCCTCGCAAGGTGTCTACTGTTAAATTGACAGCATTCACTGGATAAGAATGGGACCCTGCCACTTGGAATGGGGACGTGTGGGAGGACCCTGAGAAGCTCAGGACACTTAGCTTGTAAATGCTGGTGAATATTTTTTGACAGAAGAAACAGCTTCCCCATCCCCGGTAGTGGCAACATCCCCTCCCTGACCCACACTGCCATCAACCTTTTCACCTTTGTCTGAGGAGATAAACCCTGCACTGCCTGAGGCAACACTGATTGCCTCCCTGAGGCAGTTGCCAGGCAAGATAGTGTTGATTCTCCTCAGAAGCCACCCACAATGGCCCTGTTTGCTTCTAGACCTATAACTAGACTAAAGTCCTGGCAGGCCCCTAGAGGTGAGGTTCAGAGTGCACTACACTCAGAAAGAACTGCTTGAGTTTTCTAATCTATATAAGCAGAAATCTGGAGAATAGGCATGGGAGTGGATATTAAGGTGTAGGATAATTGTGGAACATAGAGTTAAATCAGGCTGAATTTATTGATTTGGGCCCACTAAGTAGGGATTCTGCATTTATTGTTGCAGCTTGGGGACTTGAAAAAGGTTTTAAGAGTTAATTTGCTTGGTTAGCTGAAATATGGATTAAAAGATGGCCCACTGTGAGCAAGCTGGAAATGCCTGATCTCCCTTGCTTTAATGTAGAGGAAGGGATCCAAAGGCTTAGGGAGATTGGGATGGTGGAGTGGATTAGTCACTTTAGACCTACTCAACCCAGCTGGGAGGGCCCAGAAGATGTACCCTTAACCAATGCTTTGTGAAATAGACTTGTGAGGGCAGCATCTGCATCTTTGAAGAGCCCTGTAATTGCCCTTCTCTGTATGTCAGATCTAACAGTGGGAACCACAGTCACTCAACTACAAAATTTAAATGCAATGGGAATAATTGGATCCTGAGGTTGCAGGGGCCAAGTGTCAGCACTGAAACATCACAGGCAAGGTGGGCATAGCTACCATAATGGACAGCAGAGGCAAAGCAGCAATCAGAATAGTCTGACTCATGTAGAGCTGTAGCTTTGGCTAATTAATCATGATATTCCTAGAAGTGAAATTGATAGGAAGCCTACTGCATTCCCACTTAATTTATATAAGCAGAAACCTTTCAGGTTGAATGGAAAAAAACTAATTTGAATTACAGAAACAGAGAATCAAAACCCCTCAATCAATTTCCAGACTTGAGCCAGTTTACAGACCCAGAACCCCTTGAATGAAGGGAAAGCTGGTTCCCGTTAAGCAAGGACCCCACTACACTACTGACAATTTATGCTGCTAATCTTTCTCCCATCCTTTCCCAGGAGACCTCTGGCCTTTTACCAGGGTAACTGTGCACTGGGGAAAGGGAAATGATCAGACATTTTGGGGACTACTGAACACTGGCTCTGAGCTGACACTGATTCCAGGGGACCCAAAACATCATTGTAGTTCTCCAGTTAAAGTAAGGGCTTATGGAGGTCAGGTAAATTAATGGAGCTTTAGGTCAGGTCCAACCTACAGTGGGTCCAGTGGGTCCCCAGACTCATCCTGTGGTCATTTCTTTGGTGTCAGAATGCATAATTGGACATAAATAGATACACATAGCAGCTGGCATAACCCTCACACTGGATCCCTGACTGGTAGGGTGAGGGCTATTATGGTGGGAAAGGCCAAATGGAAACCACTAGAGCTGTCTCTACCTAGAAAAACAGTAAATTAAAAACAATTTGCATCCCTGGAGGGATTGCGGAGATTAGTGCCGCCATCAAGGACTTGAAAGACACGGGGGTGGGGATTCCCACCACATTCCTGTTCAACTCTCATATTTGGCCTGTGCAGAAGACAGATGGCTCTTGGAGAATGACAGTGGATTATCATAAGCTTAACCAAGTGGTGACTCCAATTGCAGCTGCTGTACCAGATGTGGTTTCATTGCTTGAGCAAATTACATCTCCTGGTACTTGGTATGCAGTCACTGACTTGGCAAATGCCTTTTTCTCCATTCCTGTCCATAAGGCCCATCAGAAACAATTTGCCTTCAGCTGGCAAGGCCAGAAATATACTTTTACCATCCTACCTCAGGAGCATATCAGCTCTCTGGCTTTGTGTTATAATCTTATTCAGAGAGAACTTGATTGCTTTTCATTTCCACAAGATATCACACTGGTCTATTATATTGATGACATTATGCTGATTCGATCCAGTGATCAAGAAGCAGTAAACACACTGGACTTATTGGTGAGACATTTGCATGCCAGAGGATGAGAAATAAATCTGACTAAAATTTAAGGACCTTCTACCTCAGTAAAATTTCTAGGGGTCCAGTGGTGTGGGGCCTGTCAAGATATTTCTTCTAAGGTGAAGGATAAGTTGCTGCATTTAGCTCCATCTACAACCAAGAAAGAGGCACAATGCCTAGTGGGCCTATTTGGATTTTGGAGGCAACACATTCCTCATTTGGGTGTGTTACTCCAGCCCATTTATCGAGTGACTTAAAAGGCTGCCAGTTTGAAATGGGTCCAGAACAGGAGAAGGCTCTGCAACAGGTCTAGACTGCTGGGAAAGCTGCTCTGCCTATTGGGCCATATGACCCAGCAGATCCAATGGTGCTTGAGGTGTCAGTGGCAGATAAGGATGCCCTTTGGAGCCTTTGGTAGGCCCCCTTAAGTGAATCATAGCAGAGGCCTCTAGGATTTTGGAGCAAGGCCCAGCCATCTTCTGCAGATAACTACTCTCCTTTTGGGAGACAGTTCTTGGTTTGTTACTGGGCTTTGGTGGAAACTGAACGTTTGACTATGGATCATCAAGTCACCATGTGACCTGAACTGTCTATCATGAACTGGATCCTTTCTGGCCCATCTAGCCATAAGGTAGGTTGTGCACAGCAGCATTCCTTCATCAAATGGAAGTGGTATACACATGATCGGGCTCAAACAGGTCCTGAAAGCACAAGCAAGTTACATGAGGAAGTGGCTCAAATGCCTATGGTCTACACTCCTGCCTTCTCGCCACCAGTCTGCACCGATGGCTTCATGGAGAGTTCCCTATGATCAGTTGACAGAGGAAGAGAAGACTAGGACCTGGTTCACAGATGTTTCTGCAGAATATGCAGGCACCATGCAAAAGTGGAGAGCTGCAGTGCTACAGTACCTTTCTTTTTTTTTTTTAATTTTATTATTATTGTACTTTAAGTTTTAGGGTACATGTGCACAACGTGCAGGTTTGTTACATATGTATACATGTGCCATGTTGGTGTGCTGCACCCGTTAACTCGTCATTTAGCATTATGTATATCTCCTAATGCTATCCCTCCCCCCTCCCCCCACCCCACAACAGTCCCCGGTGTGTGATGTTCCCCTTCCTGTGTCCATGTGTTCTCATTGTTCAATTCCCACCTCTGAGTGAGAACATGCAGTGTTTGGTTTTTTGTCCTTGCGATAGTTTGCTGAGAATGATGGTTTCCAGTTTCAACCATGTCCCTACAAAGGACATGAACTCATCCTTTTTTATGGCTGCATAGTATTCCATGGTGTGTATGTACCACATTTTCTTAATCCAGTCTATCATTGATGGACATTTAGATTGGTTCCAAGTCTTTGCTGTTGAGAATAGTGCCGCTATAAACATACGTGTTCATGTGTCTTTATAGCAGCATGAGTTATAATCCTTTGGGTATATATCCAGTAATGGGATGGCTGGGTCAAATGGTATTTCTAGTTCTAGATCCCTGAGGAATCGCCACACTGACTTCCACAAAGGTTGAACTAGTTTACAGTCCCATGAACAGTGTAAAAGTGTTCCTATTTCCCACATCCTCTCCAGCACCTGTTGTTTCCTGACTTTTTAATGATTGCCATTCTAACTGGTGTGAGATGATATCTCATTGTGGTTTTGATTTGCATTTCTCTGATGGCCAGTGATGATGAGCATTTTTTCATGTGTTTTTTGGCTGCATAAATGTCTTCTTTTAAGAAGTGTCTGTTCATATCCTTTGCCCACTTTTTGATGGGGTTGTTTGTTTTTTTCTTGTAAATTTGTTTGAGTTCATGCTACAGTACCTTTCTAGGACATCCCTGAAGGACAGCGGTGGAGGAAAATCTTTCCAGTAGGCAGAACTTCAGGCAGTGTACCTCGTTGTGCACTTTGCATGGAAGGAGACATGGCCAGATGTGCGATTATATACTGATTCATGGGCTGTAGCCAATGGTTTGGCTGCTGGATGGTCAGGTACTTGGAAGAAGCATGATTGGAAAATTGGTGACAAAGAAATTTGAGGAAGATGTATGTGGATAGACCTCTCTGAGTGGTCAAAAACTGTGAAGATATTTGTATCCTATGTGAGTGCTCACAAAAGGGTGACCTTAGCAGAGGAGGATTTTAATAATCAAGTGGATAGGATGGATGACCCATTCTGTGGACACCACTCAGACTCTTTCCCCAGCCACCCCTGTCATCACCCAATGGGCCCATGAACAAAGGGGCCATGGTGGCAGGGATGGAGGTTACACAGGGGCTCAGCAACATGGACTTCCAATCACCAAGGCTGACCTGGCTACAGCCACTGCTGAGTACCCAATTTGCCAGCAACAGAGACTAACACTGAGCCCTTGATATGGCACCATTCCTTGGGGTGATCAGCCTGCTACCAGGTGAGAGGCTGATTATACTGAACCTCTTCCATCATGGAAAGGGCAGAGGTTTGTCCTCATTGGAATAGACACTTACTCCAGATATGGGTTTGCCTATCCTGCACACAATGCTTCTGCCAAGACTACCATCTGTGGACTTATGGAATGCCTCATCCACCATCATGGTATTCCACATGGCATTGCCTCTGACCAAGGCACTCACTTTACAGCTAAAGAAGTGTGGCAGTGGGCTCATGCTCGTGGAATTCACTGGTCTTACCGTGTTCCCCATCATCCTGAAGCAGCTGGATTGATAAAATGGTGGAATGGCCTTTTGAAGTCACAATTACAATGCCAACTAAGTGACAATACTTTGTAGGTCTGGAGCAAAGTTCTCCAGAAGGCTGTGTATGCTCTGAATCAGCTTCAATATCCTATTAGTTCTGTCCCTCTAGAGAATCCTGACTAATACAATACCACAGACTATGGACTGGGTAATTTATAAGAAAGTAAGTTTGTTTAACTCATGGTTCTGTATGCTGGAAAGCCCAAGAACATGGCACTAGCATCTGGTGAGGGCCTTCTTGCTGCATCACAAGTCAAGAGGGCAAGAGCATGCATGTCAGCTCAGGACTCTTCCTCTTCTTATAAAGCCACCAGTCCCATCATGGGTGCCCCACCTTGTTGACCATATCAAATCCTAATTACCTCCCAAAGGTCCCACCTCCATCAACATATAAATTTTTGAATTAAAATTTCAATATATAGGATTTGGGGGACATATTCAAACCATAGCAGACAGCATCTGCCTGTAGGAGATGGGCCATCTTTGAGGACTGCAAGGCAGAGATGAGATTTCATTCTCCATCCTTGAGCTCCAGATTGAGTCTTACAGGGAGAGAAGCCAGGTTCTGAATGAGGAACCTTGTTGACATTTCCTAGGAGCCTGGTCAGTGTCTGTCATCCCAGCTGCATCTGGGAAAGCTGTTGGTGCTAGAAGGACATGAGCTGAGGGGGGAGGCTGCAAACGTATGACCCAGAGCATTTGTGTTTCTTTGCTAAATTCTACCTGTGTTTGGAGTTTCCCACCTCAAGTTATTTTGTTGTTAGAATTTTTTTTACTTAATTTTTTTTCTCCTTTGCCAGCAGGAAAATAATTGTTTCACATTTCTCTTGAATATTATTCTCTTCTTTCAACCAGAGACAGGAGTGAATCTGCTTTTGTAGGGCCTGAAGCATACACAGTTTAGGAGTGGTAAGGTTTTAACATAAAGATGACTACAAAAGTGAAAACATTAATTTAGAATGAGAAAAGAAGCCACAATATATTATAATTTTTTAAAGCTGTCTTATGAAACATCATAAGACCTGGAAAAATATTACACTGCTTTTATTTAATTACCTACCTGGCTCTATAACACCTCTTCCCTTGCATTTTTGGCCCCATATTCTGATCATTTCTTATGATGACAATTTAATAGAGAAAATCAAGATACTTCAGTCCTCTCTTGAGCATGGTTGTTTTACTATTGACAGTTAGGAAAAGTTTCTGTTAGCTTCCCAAGTCATTTTTGATGATGCTGTGTAAAGTTTTAGGAGTATTTTCAAACCTGGAAAATCTCCACTGGGCTCCCCTCCCATGGTGCTATTACAGACAGATTCACTTTTTGCAATACCGCAACAGGCCGTGCCCTTCAAACACAGATGTTCTGATAAATTCTATTTTGTGTGATTCCCACCAAAGAGGAACAAAGCTGTGCAGCACATTTATAATGTCATGCCCTGAATTATGGAGTATATTCCTGACAGGAGAGAGCTTTAACTTGGAATAGGTATACTTGAGAACTAAATCTTCAGCTCGTGCTTTTCATGCCAGGTGTTGGAAGAACTTTCTATGAAGTACTTTCTGATTCCATACATTTCAAGCCTTGATTCTCTTCCACTGCCCACATGCATCCAGTGTCAGGCACTGGAGGACACATCTGTGTTTCAATAATTTCTGTGTCCTTGTACCTTTGTGTCTGACCTGCGTGAGTCAGCAGGTGGGCGGGAAGACTATCCCTGCAAGCTGTTCCCATAGAGGGATGACAGGCAATTGACCCCTGCATATGGGGTGACTGTCAGCTGTAATGTGACAAAGGGGAAGGGGAACAGCAGAGACAATGTTGTTGGCCATGAGCAGCCAAAATATCCTACCTGTGCACTTTACCAAAAACACATAAAGGAGCTGAGCAGATGCGGAGCTTTGGGGTAGATGCTCTGGAGGCTGGAAAATGAAAATTTTTCTAAAATGTACTAGTTTCTCAGCAGTCATATTTCCAAGCCCTTACATTTCACCTTTGTTCCTAAAAAGAGCAGTTTTTAATTTATTTTTTCTTTTGCACATTTTCACACTTTTCTCCTTGTTTTCACAGTGGACACTTTAGCTGTCTTCCCACATGCTGACATATAGTACTTAGGATTTCAAAATTATGTTTATTATTGTTGTTTAAAAAGTACAAAGTCTTCAAATGTAAAAATTATTTAGGTGAGGCTAGGTGCGGTGGCTCACGCTTGTAATCCCAGCACTTCGGGAGGTAGAGGCGGGTGGGTCATTTGAGGTCAGAAATTTAAGACGAGCCTGACCGGCATGGTGAAACCCCATCTCTACTAAAAATACAAAACTTAGCTGGGCATGGTGCCATGCCACCTGTAATCTCAGCTACTCAGGAGGCTGAGGCAGGAGAATCACTTGAACTCAGGAGGCGGGTGTTGCAGTGAGCCGAGATTGCACCATTGCACTCCAATCTGGGTGACAGAGTGAGACTCTGTCTCAAAAAAAAAAAAAAAAAAAAAAAAAACACAACAAAAAAGGAGAATTTTAGACCAATATCCCTGATGAACATTGATGCAAAAATCCTCAATAAAATACTGGCAAACTGAATCCAGCAGCACATCAAAAAGCTTATCCACCATGATCAAGTGGGCTTCATCCCTGGGATGCAAGGCTGGTTCAATATATGCAAATCAATAAATGTAATCCAGCATATAAACAGAACCAAAGACAAAAACCACATGATTATCTCAATAGATGCAGAAAAGATCTTTGACAAAATTCAATAGCCCTTCATGCTGAAAACTCTCAATAAATTAGGTATTGATGGGGCATATCTCAAAATAATAAGAGCTATTTATGACAAACCCACAGCCAATATCATACTGAATGGGCAAAAACTGGAAGCATTCCCTTTGAAAACTGGCACAAGACAGGGATGCCCTCTCTCACCACTCCTATTCAACATAGTGTTGGAAGTTCTAGTCAGGGCAATCAGGCAGGAGAAAGAAATAAAGGGTATTCAATTAGGAAAAGAGGAAGTCAAATTGTCCCTGTTTGCAGATGACATGATCGTATATCTAGAAAACCCCATCGTCTCAGCCCAAAATCTCCTTAAGCTGATAGGCAACTTCAGCAAAGTCTCAGGATACAAAATCAATGTGCACAAATCACAAGCATTCTTATACACCAATAGCAGACAAACAGAGAACCAAATCATGAGTGAACTCCCATTCACAATTGCTTCAAAGAGAATAAAATACCTAGGATTCCAACTTACAAGGGATGTGAAGGACCTCTTCAAAGAGAACTACAAACCACTGCTCAACGAAATAGAAGAGGACACAAACAAATGGAAAAATATTCCATGCTCATGGATAGGAAGAATCAATATCATGAAAATGGCCATACTGCCCAAGGTAATTTATAGATTCAATGCCATCCCCATCAAGCTACCAATGACTTTCTTCACAGAATTGGAAAAAACTACTTTAAAGTTCATATGGAACCAAAAAAGGGCCTGCATTTCCAAGTCAATCCTAAGCTAAAAGAACAAAGGTGGAGGCATCACACTACCTGACTTCAAACTATACTACAAGGCTATAGCAACCAAAACAGCATGGTACTGGTGCCAAAACAGAGATATAGACCAATGGAACAGAACAGAGCCCTCAGAAATAATACCACACATCTACAACCATCTGATCTTTGACAAACCTGACAAAAACAAGAAATGGGGAAAGGATTCCCTATTTAATAAATGGTGCTGGGAAAACTGGCTAGCCATATGTAGAAAGCTGAAACTGGATCCCTTCCTTACACCTTATACAAAAATTAATTCAAGATGGATTAAAGACTTAAATGTTAGACCTAAACCCATAAAAACCCTAGAAGAAAACCTAGGCAATACCATTCAGGACATAGGCATGGGCAAGGACTTCATGTCTAAAACACTAAAAGCCATGGCAACAAAAGCCAAAATTGACAAATGGGATCTAATTAACCTAAAGAGCTTCTGCACAGCAAAAGAAACTACCATCAGAGTGAACAGGCAACCTACAGAATGGGAGAAAATTTTTGCAATCTACTCATCTGACAAAGGGCTAATATCCAGAATCTACAAAGAACTCAAACAAACTTACAAGAAAAAAGAAAAACAACCCCATCACAAAGTGGGCAAAGGATATGAACAGACACTTCTTAAAAGAAGACATTTATGCAGCCAACAGACACATGAAAAAGTGCTCATCATCACTGGCCATCAGAGAAATGCAAATCAAAACCACTATGAGATACCATCTCACACCAGTTAGAATGGCAATCATTAAAAAGTCAGGAAACAACAGGTGCTGGAGAGGATGTGGAGAAATAGGAACACTTTTACACTGTTGGTGGGACTGTAAACTAGTTCAACCATTGTGGAAGTCAGTGTGGTGATTCCTCAAGAATCTAGAACTAGAAATACCATTTGACCCAGCAATCCCATTACTGGGTATATACCTAAAGGATTATAACTCATGCTGCTATAAAGACACATGCACACATATGTTTATAGTGGCACTATTCACAATAGCAAAGACTTGGAACCAACCTAAATGTCCATCAGTGATAGACTGGATTAAGAAAATGTGGCGCATATGCACCATGGAATACTATGCAGCCATAAAAAAGGATGAGTTCATGTCCTTTGTAGGGACATGGATGAAGCTGGAAACCGTCATTCTCAGCAAACTATTGCAAGGACAAAAAACCAAACACCGCATGTTCTCACTCATAGGTGGGAATTGAACAATGAGAACACTTGGACACAGGAAGGGGAACATCACACACCGGGGACTGTTGTGGGGAGGGGGGAGGGGGGAGGGATAGCGTTAGGAGATATACCTAATGTAAATGACGAGTTAATGGGTGCAGCACACCAACATGGCGCATGTATACATATGTAACAAACCTGCACGTTGTGCACATGAACTCTGGAACTTAAAGTATAATAATAAATAAATAAATAAATAATTATTTAGGTGAGCACAGCACAGAAATACAAAGAAGGAGAAGCTCTGCTTCCAGTCCGCGTGCAGGTGTGTCTTTCTCTCCCATCAGGGCTTCCTCTGGGCAGTGGCCCATCTTTGGATTCCAGACAGTTCGTAAGGAGATGGTTCTGCAGGGCTCAGAACAGGAAGTTTAGCTACCAGGGTTAAAACTTTAACTGTTATATTTTAAATCACCAGATTAAAAAAAATTTTTTTAAACCTCAAGTATTTCTAAAGTACTAGATACATCAAAAACTAGGACGCTGGGAAGCGTATGGTTTCATAATTTCACCCATTGTCACTCCCATCTGATGACTCAGGGTGTTGGGTTTCAGCAGCATGTCCACTTCTACATGGCATCCTAAAGCAGCCCTGGCTTTGGGACCAGCACACATACGGCCTGGCCCAGCGTGTCCACTTACAGATGGTGACACTCTAAGTCACTTCTCCCTCTGCATGCAGTCTTATCCCCTGGGCAGTGAGGAGAAAGGAAGAGTTCAAAATTCTCTCTGGGTTCTATGGCTCTAGGTTAAAGATTCATTTTAAAATTGTGTTCCAACATTTCAGTGTCGACTTTTTTTTTTTTTACTTTCAGCACCAGCACAAAAGGGAACTTTCAGTAATTCCTTTTGCCAGCAAGACATGGATATTTTGCAGAAGTGTTGGCTCGACTATAGGTGTCACAGATGAGGCTCTGAGTATGCCAAGATTTGAGCCAGCCTGCCTGGGAGCCCCTCACAGCTATTGAGGAGGAAGGCTCTGACCAGTACAGTCCTTGCAAAGAGGGAGTGAGCATGCTGGCTCTCTGCGGGCCAGGTTTGGCTCTCAACATGTCCTGTTTCGCTTAAACAATGTTGTGCTACATTTATTTTTAAAATTATGGAGTAGATGCCAACATTTAAAAATTTTGAAAATTCACACACACATGTGAATAGGCACTTCCCAAATGCATTTATGATCCAGATTTCTAACGGCTCCTTAAAAACTGAGGAGGTCTGGGAACAGCGGAACCCACATTCCTGCCTCACTATGATGGTCCAGTGCTGAGGGCCCTGCCCTATGGAATGGGCACATTCTTTTGCTCTTCGTGGTCTCTACCACTCCCCAGGAAGCCCTGAGCCAGCCAGCCTGTGTGTTACCAGCCAGCCTCTGTGGGCATTTGATGTGGTGATCCGTGGGTTAGAGCTGCACTGTCTAATAGAAGTATAATGCCAGCCACAGATGCAAAAAACACATGTGATTTAAATTTCTAGGAGCCACATTTTAAAAAACAATAGAAAGAAATAAGTAAAATTAATTTTAATAACATATTATTTAACCCAATATGTCAAACATATGATGCAACCCGGTTAAAAATCATTGAGATATTTGCCTTCTTTTTTTTTTGGAGAGAGTCTTGCTGTTGCCCAGGCTGGAGTGCAGTGGCACGATCTCAGCTCACTGCAACCTCTGCCTCCCAGGTTCAAGCGATTCTTCTTCCTCAGCCTCCTGAGTAGCTGGGACTACAATTGTGTGCCACCACACCCAGCTAATTTTTTTGTGTGTATTTTTAGAGGAGACAGGGTTTTGCCACATTGGCCAGGCTGATCTCAAACTCGTAACCTCAGATGATCTGCCCACCTTCACCTCCCAAAGAGCTGGGATTACAGGTGTGAGCCACCGTGCCTGGCCTGCCTTCTTTTTTCATACCAAATCTTCAAAATCCAGTGTGTATTTCACTCTTGTAGCACATCTTAGCTCACATTTTATGTGTTTGAAAGTGACGAGTGGACTGGGCGCAGGACAGGGCAGCTCAGGGTCCCAGCTTGGTATATGGAGAAGTGGCTGAGCCACGGAAGGTTGGGTTGGAAAGAGAGCCTGAGGCCAAATTACCTGGGGCTGTAAAGGAGGTGCTTTTTATACTTCTTTTTATCGATAATTAGAAGCCACTGGAAATCTGTTTGGGGCTCCAGTCCAATGTTTTAAAGCTCTCCATTGTAGCACACATTCCTCCTATCACATTTTAAATTTATTTACTCTTGGACTGCCTTGCATGTCTATGCAGAACAGCTGAAGAGGGGCTCCCAGTGATTTCCAAACTGCTTCACTGACAGTGCTGGGGGCTCCACAAGGGAACTGCGGAGCAGCGGCATGGGAGGAGCCCCACCAGGGGTGGCCTCATCAGTTCTATGTATTTCAGGTACTGCAAGATTTTATTGATAGTGTTTCACTGTTGGTGTTTGAAAAACAGTTCTCTACAACATAACCTCCAGAATATTCAACATATTCTCTTTCGTGTTAGCTGTTTAAGTACTTGGGGTGTTTCCCATCCCCTTTGTACATCTTTTATGGATCCTTTATGTACTTTAAATCCCTTTATCTAAATAATGTCTTAGCAACCTAGAGGGGTTCGTCACCACGTAACTTCACCAATCTCATGTTTAGTGAGTAGTTACGGATCTCATTTTACAATTACAGGCTGTTTTAAATTACTGTTAAACCCCGTTTTAAATTAGATAAATCAGGGCAATATTTTTTGTAGACAGTAATTTTCTGGAAGAGAGAAGATTGACTGTGAAGAAAGAATTTGCCCCTAAACCTTTCTACCAAGGTGCCCACCAAGGTTGTTCACTCCCCTCCCCAAACACATTTCTAAGTTGATGTCTTAGCAGAGGAAAAAAGCTTTTGATTTTCATGACTTACATGAAATTTAACAAATGTCTCTGCCTCCAGACTGTGCCCATCTCTGACCTGACTGTGCATGTGGCTGGTTCTGGCTGTGTGGTGAGGAGTGGGGTTCACCAAGGAACACTCATCTCCACTGCCCTGGAGACGGACTACTTGGAAGAGTTTATTTGCCCACATGGCTGAGTTGCCTGGTCTCTCTTCTTCTTCCTCGTCTCCTCACATGCTTTCTTTTTATTTTAATTGATAATTGATCATCCCTTACCTGCCAATCAGCAGAAACATTTTATGATTATTCCAACCACAACCTCACAGCACCAAGTGGTTTCTTTTAATGAATTCCTTCAATGTGAATCTTTTATGTCCAGGCAAAGTCGGGGACAGAACCCCACCCGAACTTGGAGATATTAGCCAAGGAATTCCACAGGGTGTGTTCGACTAAAGGGTTGTATTACAGCCTTCTGTGAACTTCATTAGTATCCCTTGCCCTCTTCTGGAAAGGCAGAAGAGGAAGCCAGATGTGTTTGTGAAGTAATGATGGCTCACACAGCAAGGATGGGAGGAAAAGCATGCCTGAGAGCCAGGAAGACTCAGATGGGACAGAGGCTGTGCCCCAGACACAGGTGCTGTCACCCAGCCACTCATGCTGCTCAATGCATTCCACTAAATACTCACTAAGAGGATGATTAATCCAGGACAGGCACAGAGGCCATCCTCCAGAAAGGGGCTCCAAGACCGAGGGAACTGTTCTAGAGGGAAGCACGGGAAGGACATGATATGGTGCTCAGATGTGCATCACGCCCCACAAGCAATTCCCAGCTAGACTGTGCCAACTCCACGCCTTTGCCCTTGCTTAAGAGAGTATAGAAGAATTCAAGTAAGAGTGATGTTATTATAGAGATAGCCTTGCCTCAACTCAAACTGGCTTTAAAAAGGAAATCATTTGTAAACTTCAGTACTTTACTATCATTCTATCACATTCCTTATAAATGATCATAACATTCATGTTTTTCAGCAGCAAATTTAAGGGCAAAGTAGACTCGAAGCATCCCAGAAGGAAAATATGGCAGATTAAATGTGGGTAATTATAGAAAGTTTAAAACTGTGATTACTTGCAAAATGAACGGATAAGCTTAAAAGAAACCAACAAAGTCCAGTGAAACACCACAGGGCTAGTGATAGTAGGAGACTTTGTCATCCCTGAACCTGAAATGAGCCTTTGTCATCCCTGAAACTGAAATGACAAGGGCAGGTAGTGAATCTTTTCTACCAGAATCCTGAGACACAGGTGGGTCTCCCAGGTTGGGGGTGGAGGATCTACAGCCTTTGCATGAGTCACTAATACCCTTCAACCCAGCTCCTTCCATCTTCTGACTTCCTGCTTATAAATGCCATTGAAGAAAATCATTTCAAGGCAAGGGAACATATTGAAGAAGCCCCCAGAGTTCAGCCTTCATGGGCACAGAGCAAGGGGCAGTGGGTCAGAGGGCAAAGGGAAAATGCCCAGCACAGGTATCAATTACCACAGGGATGAAGCTGTTCATTGCTACAGGACAGAGATCCAGGGTGACTGGGGTTGCAGATTGAGTCAGGAGAATCTACAGATGCAGAGCTGACCTGTAGGTTTAGTTATCATGGTTACAGACATTTAAGGAGCATGGGGTTAAGATACTTGTTGCTATAGCTGAAATAGGGGGCACAATTCATGGTGCTGAGATTCCACAGGACCCTGAGGTATGTTTGGAAGGCTGAGAAACTCAAATGCCTCCAAGCAGGGGTCTCAGCAGGGCACGAAGGTTGATGAATCACAACCAGTGGGAGCGTGAAGGAGAACAGTCCCCTCTGCGAGCTCAACTGTAATCTGTACATCTTGGTACAGGGTAAGGTTGAAAGCCCATTGATCTAACCCAGGCAGCAGTGTGGACTATAATAAATAGGGAGGGCCAAGTTGCAAAAGCCATAGGATTCTACGCCTGAACTTGAAAGGCATACTCGGGTATATAAACATACAAAAACACACATGTTTATAGAACTGGAAAAATCACAATAATGTATCCATTTTTTTTTCTGAGGGCTTAGGAAAATAAATTGAATCTTTGTTCAGACACATTTTTCTTGGTAAAGTGACACACATGCACAGGAGTATATAAGCATTCACAACAATTTGAGGTTTGCCATGATATTTTAACTCTGTAAAAACTTAGAACGCTCTACCTTGAGGACACCATATTTACCATGCAACTGTGTATTTACAGAAACCTGTCTGGGGAGGTTCTATTCTTCAATAAGAGAACCAGTCGTGAATGTGTCATGCTTAGGTATAATTACCCAACAGGTTCTTCCTGCCCATTGCACAGATAAAATCAATCCACTGAGACTATGGCATTGCAGTAGAGAAAGAGTTTAATTAACATGAAGCTAGCTCACATGGGAGAATTGGAGCTATCACTTAAATCAGCCTCCCTGAAGGTTTGGAGCTTAGGTTTTTTATGGACAATTTGGTGGATGGGGGCTGGGGGATGGGTGCTACTGATTGGTTGGGGATGAAGTCACAAGGGTGTGGAAAACTGTCCTCATGTGTTGAGTCTGCCTCTGGATGGGGACACAGGCTCAGTTGAATCACGAATCATGACTCTGGGTGGGGTCGCTCTGGAAGATATCTCAAAAACAAATCTTAAGTTCCATGATAGTGATGTTACCTATTGGAACAAATGGGAAAGTCACAAATCTTGTGACCTCTAACCACACAACTCCAGAGTAGTAAGGGATTATAGAATTTATGCCTATCTTATCAGAATTCAGGCCCCTTTCATAATCCTAACCTTGGCCTTTCATTAGCTTTACAAATGTGATTTAGTTTTAGGAAGGGCTATTATCATCTTTGCTTTGAGGTAAAACTATAAACTAAATTCCTCCCAAAGTTAGCTTGGCCTATGCCCAGAAATGATCAAGAACAACTTGGAGATCAGAAGCAAGATGGAGTCAACTATATCAGATTTCTCATACTGTTGTAATTTTGCAAAGACAGTTTCAAAGGTGCATTGCTTCCTCCAGAAGCCAGGGACTTGGATCAAGTGAAACTTTCTACCTGGGCAATGAGATCCCTCACATACATGATATCCTTGATAGAATTCTATGGCTATTATCTTTGGAGACTGTGTTTAGGATAGTTATGATCTTTTGCTGTATTTCCTTCAGAAAATATTTTTTAAAAGTTAATCATAGAACACTTCAATCAAAAAACCTTTTAGGAAAATGAGAAATGTCTTTAATAATAAAGACACCAGTGAGCTACATAATGAACTCATAACACAGATTCCATCACTTGTGAACTCTTTTTCAGGGCTGTTAAAATTGACTACGCTATATGAAATCAACATGCTGGAACATAATAATGAGGACAATGAGGCATTCAGGGAAATCATCAATATCAACAGACAACAGAATATTATCCTAAGATGTTGTTGTAGGTTACATTGTGCCTCACAGAAAGATGTATTGAAGTCCTAATCCCCAGTTTCTGTGAGTGTGGCCTTATTTGGAAATAGAGTCTCTGCAGATGTAATCAAGTTAAGACAAGGTCATCGTGAATTAGGTGTCCAATGATTGATGTCCTTATGAGAAGAGAGGGAGATTTGAATACAGACACAGAGACACAAACGGAGGGAAGAAGGCTGGTGACTGAGTCCTCGTCCCCCATCTCCTATGCCTGCACAGAGGAGGTAATAAAACATGCTTCTATTGCGTGTGTGAGTCTTCTGATAAATCCATTCAAATGTTGCTTCCATGTAACAACTACCTTTTTTAAGAGTAAAAATTCCACAAGAGATAAACATTTAAGTAGTCTTGATCCTTTTTACCATTCTCTCTTCTCATTTTCCCCCATTAAGCTTGAAAGAATTTGTATCAAGATTGACAAAAAAAATTAATCTAGCTATAGATTTCAGCCCCAGGCTTGTGGGATTATTAAGTGATGAGAACCTTTATGGTAAGAAATATTTTCTCATTAAAAAAGGAAAGGGAGAATTTCAAAAGATCTCATTTCTATCTTTAGAACTCTTTGTAAACATCAAGTGTCATGACCATCAGCCCCTGGAAAACATCTGGTCTGCCTTCACTAGAGGACCATTTTCAATTACTTTGGGGATAAGAAGATTGGCCCTGATGGAAAGTGAATTGCTCATGAGATCCAGTCAATGAAAGAAAAAAAGAAAACTGTACTTTAGCTCAGGAACTAGAATAAAGTTTCCAAAAAACACACTGGTCTCACATTCAATGAGGCATCCTCCTTGGGCAGTGTTTGGTTCAGCTATGTCCTCTCTCAGGTCCCATGTTCCTTGGGCTGGCTTTGCCCACTCCATCCCTGCAAACTATTTCCCCTCTAGGAAGCCCCTGGCTCCTGAAGTGTGCTCCTATCTAGAAGACTGGTTCCCAAGAGATCGACTCCCCCTATCCCAAGAACAACTAGCAATTATTTGCAGGCTAGTTTTTTCTAAACCTGCTTCAGATATTGGGAGTGTATTGGCTTTTGTAATTTCTTGATAGCAGCTGGAAGTGGCGCACAGAATGCAGAAGTAGCTTCTTCCTCAAGCTGAGGCTCCAGCAGAGAAGAGGCAGAAGAGGCAGCTGCTGGTAGAACCTGCTCCCTCCAGCCCTTGTCTGAGATTTCAAGACAGCTGTTTCAGTCCTCAGATGTGCTTGATGTGTTTACACAGCTTTCCCTGGTTGTGCTCAAAGACGGCAACCCTGACCCACCGAATGCCCCTTGGGAGACCAGGACACCCATGGTCATGATGAGGGTGAGGGTGAAGGCCCTGCACAGCAGCAGGAAGCATCAGCTTGCCGCCAGCACTGGGCCTACCATGCTTCCCTCATATAGGCACCTGTTGGCTTTTGTGATTTCTTCATAGCAGCAGGAGGTGGAGCACAGAGTGCAGAAGTAGCTTCTTCCCCAAGCTATCTTTCCACATCCCTCTGGGGCTACAGACAACCTGGGGCCTTCTGAGCCCTCTCCTAGTACAGGGAAGTGTGGTGGGCCCAGTGCCGATGGCAAGCTAATGCTCCCTGATTCTGGGGAGAAGGGACTTTCTGGGTGGGGACTTGCTGAGAGGCTCTTGGGGGTGAAACAATGGATTCATGTCCACCTGTGATATCATGAGGTACAGTATCTAACAAACAATAATTACAACAGAACTAGCTGCAACATACTCCTGTAACCAAGCAAAACAACCAGGATGGCAAATCACCCAAGAATAGCTTCATATTTTATTTGTTGGTTTACTTGTATTTTATTTGTTGCCTATATGTTATTTTCACTTGACTGAGGCAAATGTATATTCGTATGCTCTTTTAGGTTCTATAAAAGATACAGGTCCAAATAGGGGGTCACTGCAAGGACTGAGTTGACTGTACGGGCTATGGAAGGGAAGGGTAGGGACTGTGCTGGTGTCAAAGAATCCTACAGTGGGGGCAGGGCAAAGGGTGGGCAGGTAGAGCGTGGCTGGCTTCCACTCTTTCTCCAGGTCACTGCTGAAATCACCACTCATCAGAGACCCTGAGTACCCTGCATAACACAGATCCCCTTCACAGCCAGCCATCACTCTCTAACCCTGAACCCTGTGTTGTTTTATTTTTCTTCATAGCATGTATCACCTCCTAATATATTTATTTTTGTACTTGTTAATCATCTATTCCCCATTACCACCCAACCAGCCCCCTTCACCCCTAACCACAACCAACTACTAAAATACCATCTCCCTGAGGGCCGGACTTCCTTATGTTCACTGCTGAATCTCTAGCACCTAGAGGAATACTAAGTATCATGTCAACTCTCCATATATATCTATTGAATGAATTGATGAATTGACTAAAACCCCAAAACTCTCCCACTTAAACTGGTTTTATCATAAAGACCTAGTCTTACAAAATTTCTGTTAGAGATAGGCTGTTTATACAGCTCATTGACCCAAGTGCACCAGCACACGAGCACTACCTGTGAGAACTTGACAGGGAAAGGAGACGAGAGTCTCCTTCCTTCCTCACTCCCTCAGACTCAGGGCCATCTTCACCTCCCCATCACACTGCAGTAAAAGAGATCAATACATAAATGCAGTTGTGGTCTATGTGTTTCCATGATCCAGCAGCATCCAAAGGACTTAACATGGAGTAAGTGGCAGAAATAAAAAGTTAAGGGAAAGCATAGAAACTCTGAGGATGGGGTTATGGGAGAGGAAGTTGTTAGCAATCTAGCTGGGAGTCTGAAGAGTGCAAGGTCATCATTTATCATTTCTTATCCAAATATTCTTTCCCATGCTATTAATAGAAACAACATCTCCAAGCCAGTATTGGTGTCAATGACTTACTCAAAGATTATCTATCCATTTCCATGGTAAACACAGTAAATGTGGAAAAATAAAGCATTCCAGTTGAATAATGGGATTAATTTCTCTCTGTTGATAACATTTTGCACAGTTTTAAAGATAATGAATAATGGTTTGACCGTGCAAAAATGCACCACATAACCATAGTTGCCAAAGATCCACTATTTCAGACACACAAACACTCAGAAGTAGCTAAGTGGAAATGGTAATATGTGAACATCAAGAAAAGCCCTATGCCAAGGAAGCTCTCTGCTGGTATTGGGTTGGTCTCCACAAATTTCTTGTTATTTCCTTTGACCCTTCCAGTTTTTAGCTTAGCACAGATTCCCAAAGTGGATCCTAATGTTTTCTTGGCTACTAGCTTTCAACACCCAGTTACTCTGTAATTCTGGCTGGCCCCTTTGTCTTTGCTTTTGTAGTCAATTCTGGCTTTGACTTTCCACTGCTGCTTCTCCAGTATGAGTTTTATGATGTCCAGTAATCTTGTGTGTGGAATAATAATATGGTCGTCCATGCTCCACTTGACCTTGGCTTTTAAGAGTAACGTACATAACCAAGTTTAAACCCTCCCTATTGGCAGCTAATGCTTCTTTGGGGACATGTGGGAGTATCTGTACATTGTGAGTAGCAAACCAAATACTCAACATTGATTAAGTTTCATTTTCAACTAAGTAAAATTGATATCAAACATGATATGATGTATATCGAGAGAGGCATGATTACTCCCATGCATACTTTTGACATTAACATTGAATAAAACCTGGCAATAAAGTATTAGCAATATTTTTACACCACCATCTGGCAGACGGGCTGAATCTGGGATGGAGGAAGTAATTCCAGTCTCTGGAGAACACAGCGGAGGTGCTTGTTCAGCAGGAGGGTGGAGAGAAGTGGAAGGAAGACAGGTAGAGAGTGGATGCCCCAAACAAAACGACTGGAGCCCAGGTAGTAACCACCAGGAAACACCAGCAGCTAGAAGTGTGTGGACCAGGGCCTGAAATGGGCTTGCCACTGTGACTGTGAGGGACTAGACATATTTTCAGAGGTTGAGGTGGAAGGGGCTTAAAAATTGTGCAGTATTTTAAAATAACTACTCTCTTTATCTTCTAAAATTGGACACCTCAAGTCAAATCTGATTCTCCACCCTCTGTTAAAATTCTGGAGGAGACATGGAGCTTTTGTCTTTCTTAGTTTCTCTCCAGGGGAGGGAAGAGACATCATAAACTAAAAGGAAAATTCTAAGCCCCCAACTGACCCCATCTCTTGGCCAAGGTGACCCCAGAGTAACCTTGAAAACTGAGTTCTCGGCCATGGCAGCATGGGAGATCAGACACAGCTCATTAAAACCCCCTCCCTTGATAACCACAAATAGAGTCTCTTTCCTAAAGGATAAACAGAAACCAGCCCTACCAGCCACCTGATGCTGCCCCTCCTTTTTTGCCTGATAAGAGACCACCCACCATGGAGTGGTTCTGGGCAGTCTATGGAGATGCACAGTAAGGGTTTTTGTGTCCTCTGCATCACTTTTGACATCGGGGGCCAAAACTCCACCCTCAGATCATGCTAACAGCATTTTTTTGTACATGGGACCCATAGAGAAGCATAAAACTCAATTGCATATACGTATGTTTCTCCTTTCATAAATATTTATGACTTCTCCTATAGTTTATTGAATATGTATATTTGGCCACCTCATTTAGCAAAAATTCCCGTTCCTTTTGCCCCTCCCTCGAAGCATCTGTTTTTGGCTTCCCCAAAACACTTCCCAGCCTGTCAGAATGGCTACCCTGCAGGCTGTAGCCCTTTATGAGAAATAAAGCTTTCCTTTCCAAATTTATGAGCCTTGTCATTCTTCAGTTGACACATTCATTACCCCCTTTCTGCCATGAAAAGAGGTTGTTACTCCATCTAAAGATAAGAAAACTCCTGGTATCAGCATCTGCTCCAACAACTCTGTGCTGGAAGATAAGTAAACAATGAGAACATAGATGTATTAGAAATACTGGCCCATTAATCTATTAGAGCCTGAGCTCTCAGGCTCAGACCTACAGACTGAAAGGATTACACAAGTTTGGCACAACAAGTTTGGCTTGTCTACAATTTCAAGAGGGGAAACAAAAAGTGTTACCTTAGCTGGCTCCAGGACTTCTTAGGCACCTGCCCACTCATGCCAGGTTACCAGCTACTACCAGGCATTATGCCATAGGCTTGGCTTAATTAGTCATTGGAATTGCAGCTGAATATAAATTGTATTTAATTGTGAGCTAAACTAAATGAGTGCGTGAAGTTAGGATTACGAGAAAAAGAAAACTAAATATGAACCTCATGGGCACCGGAATGAAGTCAAATTAAATATGAATTAAACACCAGGGCAGACACTCTTCTTGATCTTCCTTTTTTTTTTTTTTTTTTTTTTTTTCTGGAGAGACAAGGTTTCACTATGTTGCCCAGGCTGGTGTCAAACTCCTGCACTCAAGCGATCTTTTTGCCTTACCCTCCTAAATTGCTGGGATTACAGGCATGAGCCACCACACCTGGCCACTCTTCTTGATCTTCTTATAACTAATTATGAATCAATAAATCTTCAAGTAAGTATTTCAGATCCCAGGTGCCACTGATTTAGAAGCACTGCTATCCTGTATGACAAGGCTGAGACTGAGAGGATGCTTCTCTCTAATGAGATAAGTAGCAAGAGACAACCTGAAATCAGAAGTCTTTCAATTCACACACTGTTCAGAGCAGCTGAAGGAAGAGAAAAGGCTTTGTTGTGGGTTGAATTGTGCCCTCCTACTCCACCATACTCGTATATGTGAAGTCTTAGCCCCCTAGTACCTCATAATGTAACATTATTTGAAAATAGAGTCATTGCAGATGTAATTACTTTGAGATGAGGTCACACTGGAGAAGAGTAGTTTCCTAATTTAATATGACTGGTGTCCTTCTAAAATAGACCATCCTGTGAAGAGAATAAGGCATGTACAGAGGGAAGACAATGTGAAGACAAAGAGAGAACACCATCTACAAGCCAAGCAAGGAATGCAAGAGATTGCCAGAAAACCACCAGAAGCTAGAACAGCGACATGGAGCAGATTCTCCCTCATGGCCACAGAAGGAACCAACCCTGCCAACAACGTCATCTCAGACTTCTTGCCTCCAGGACTGTGGGACAATACATTTCTGTTGTTTAAGCCACCAGTTTATGATACTTTGTTATGGCAGCCACAGGAAATGAATACAGGGCCAATATGAAAAGGCAAAAAAGCAGCCACGTCCTTGGTAGACTCTAACACTGTAACTTAATCAGATCCCCTTCCTGACATAAAGCATTCAGCCTGGGGGTTAGAGTTAAGGGTTGGTGCTGGAAAGGAGTCCAGTGTAATTTGAAATGTATATTTGAGCTATTCCTTGAATTTGAGCTATTACTTGAGGTTCTTTCCCTGGAGATTCCTTGTACTCATGACTTTATGACTTTTCCCACCATTGATAGTGTCAATGGCATTCTTTTTTTTTTTTTTTTTTTTTTTTCTTGTGAGACACAGTCTCACTCTGTCGCCCAGGCTAGAGTGCAATGGTGCTATCTTGGCTCACTGCAACCTCCACCTCCCAGGTTCAAGCGATTCTCCTGCCTCATCCTCCTGAGTAGCTGGGATTACTGGCGCCTACCACCACGCCCAGCTAATTTTTGTATTTTTAATAGAGACGGGGTTTCATCATGTTGATCAGGCTGGTCTCGAACTCCTGACGTCAGGTGATCTGCCCACCTCGGCCTCCCAAAATGCTGGGATTACAGGCGTGAGCCACTGCGCCCGGCCGTCAATGGCATTCTTTATACAGAGCCCTCTGTAAAAAGGAGAAGGGGTGATTAGCCAAGAATAGAGTCAAATTCTTGGCTCTGAGTTTCTATGGCAGACACAACAGTATTGAAAGCTGTGGCTTTTAAATGGCAAGAGCTGGGGGAGTTTGGGGGGAAATTTTATTTTGGGGTTCGTAAGCTTGATGCTGATTACAAGGAGGCAAAATATCTAGAGAACTGGGGGCATAAAATATATGGGAATGGAGTGGGAAAGAATGGATGATGCTGCACAGTCTTCCCACACAATAGGAGGCAGAAATATTTGCCAGTGATTGGAATAATAGTGCCAGATGTGGGTTGGTCTGAGCTTTAGATGCTGGTGAATTCTCAGGGAGGGGATTGTATCCTGCCTTGCTTTGGTGCAAGTCCCTGATGATGGGAGAATGAAGCTGGAGGTAGAGGGACTGGAGTTGGGGTCTCTCACTTTGTCTCTAAATTCAGGCCTTCTGAGGAGTCCACTACACAGCATGGGGAAGCTTCAGCAGAATAGAAGTGGCTGAGTGAAGTACTGAGGCAGAAGGAGCCGGAGGCAGTCTCCCATCCCCAGATTGCCCATGTAGCCCACCATGGAGAGGATACAGAAATGCCCTGTTGCCCTGACAGTAGTGCAGAGATCCCTGGATGGTGGGTTATGGCACGCTTAGACGGGTAGATCTACTGTCATCTGAATAAATTGGTGAGTAGTGGAGAGGAGTGGTATGCAGATGCTTTAATGAGGATGCAACAAGGAAAGGCGACAATGACAAAAGTCTACTCATTGGAGGCTAGGGTAAGGGGGTTGTTGAAGTCACCTGGTAATGTTTGGATCCATTGTATAGTGCATATGTCCAGCCAACCTCAAATGTGTGAAGGAGGTCTATGAAGGTGTGGGGAAAGAGGAAGACTTATTTATTCTATCTAACTGTATGTTTGTACCCATTAACCAAGGAACAAAATGGAGATCCAGAGAGGAAAGTCTAAAAGACAGTCTTTTCCCCATCGCAGGAATGGGCACCATGTCATCTTACTCCTCATGCACACACACTTGGCTCCCCCAGCCTGTGCAGATTAGGAAGGTGGCAGGTTGGTGAGTGTGATCCATCCTATCTGAGTTCGTTCTGTTCTGAAGCTTACAAAAAACCAGGCCACATCAGGAACTACGCTGTGAGCCATAAGGGACACATGCATGAACAGCCCTTATCTGTGGCTCCTGTTCCCACTCCTGTTCTCGTTCTCCAGCAAGCATGATGAAGGACTCCATGAATGATCATGTGCAGCCAGCTGGGGCCTGTGCTTTGCCAACTGGGCCTTAAGAAGAAAAAAACAAAACAAAATGTATTTCTGCTTTCCCAGACTGTGAGGTATTATGGATTATGGCCCCTCTGATGCTGCAATGGATCCACATGAATGAAATGAGTGGTGCAGGGTCCTTGAAATTAAAAACAAAAATTCTTCTAAGCCTGTACTTTGTATAACCATCCTTTTTCTTTAATTTCTTCTAAAAAAAGAACGGGATGCATGTGCAGAACGTGCAGGTTTGTTACATAGGTATATGTGTGCCATGGTGGTCTATCATTCGTGGGCATTTGGGTTGGTTCCATGTCTTTGCTATTGTAAATAGTGCTGCAATAAACATACATGTGCATGTGTCTTTATAGACACGTAGAATGATTTTTATTCATTTGGGTATATACCCAGTAATGGGATTGCCAGGTCAAATGGTATTTCTGGTTCTAGATCCTTGAGGAATCACCATACTGTCTTCCACAATGGTTGAACTAAATTACATTCCCACCAACAGTGTAAAAGCACTCCTATTTTTCCACAGCCTCTCCAGCATCTATTGTTTCCTGACTTTTTAATAATTACCGTTCTGACTAGCATGAGATAGTATGTGGTTTTGATTTGCATTTCCCTGATGATCAGTGATGTTGAGCTTTTTTTTCGTCATTTTGTTGGGCATATAAATGTCTTCTTTTAGGAAGTGTCTGTTCATATCCTTTGCCCACTTTTTGATGGGGGTGTTTTTCTCTTGTAAATATGTTTAAGTTCCTTGTAAATCCTGGATATTAGACCTTTGTCGGATGGGTAGATTGCAAAAATTTTCTCCCATTCTTCAGGTTGCCTGATCACTCTGACAATAGCTTTTTTTGCTGTGCAGAAGCTCTTCAGTTTAATTAGATCCCATTTGTCTATTTTGGATTTTGTTGCAATTGCTTTTGGCATTTTTGTCATGAAGTCTTTGCCCATGCCTACATTTTGAATGGTGTTGCCTAGGTTTTCTTCTAGGGTTTTTATGGTTTTGGGTTTTACATTTAAGTCTTTAATCCATCTTGAGTTAATTTTTGATATACCCATCCTTTGCTCAAGCTCTTTCTCCTCTGATCGCACTGAATCATAGCAAGATATGTCCTTTTAATATGAGATATAGATCTCATATAATTAAATAATCTTTGAAAATCTATTTCACACAACTGAATTGGAAACCAATTAAAATTTACAGCAAATGATTATTGACAGTTTCTCTCCTATAGCTATGCTGTCAACTTAAAATTCAGCAAAATTAGAGAAAATTTTGTGGCTAATAAGAATTATTTCAGGCATATCTACCAGTTGCAAAGCCTACACACTAGGCAAAGTATACCAGTAAATATGAATACATAAATATGGCTTGCCATAAATATATACTACTAAAAGTTAATACATTTTGGGTGATTTATCAAGAAGAGGTGGGTATAGTTGCCACATTATTATAATTACTACAGTCTCTGGGAAATAATATTTTGAAAATGAATTATTAATAGAGTTGCAGTTTTCTTTTACTTCAAAAAAATTTTTGGCTAATGCAATTAAATGTATGTCAGCAGAGTCCTCAAGCTGAGAAACATAGTTGGTAGTCATTTCTCCCATTCAAATGGACTCCAAAACCTGGCTCAGCATTTTCTACTGGGCAAGTGGTTTGTTTGGACCCCAAGGCTTTTGGGAGTGTTCCTAGGAATGGTCTTTTAAATTGATACATAATTTTTTACATACTTATGGGGTACATGTGAAATTTTATTACATGCATGGAATATGTAATGATCAAGCTGGGATACCCATCATCTTGAGTGTTTATCATTCCTATGTGTTGGGAATATTTCAAGTCCTCCTTTAGCTGCTTTGATATATATAATACATTATTGCCAACTATAGTTACCCTACTCTACTGTTGACCATTAGAAATTATTTATTCTAACTGTATGTCTGTACCCATTAACCCATCTTCCTTCCTCCCCACTCCCACCCACACATTTTTCCCAGGCTCTGGTATCTGTCATTTTATTCTCTACCTTCGCGAGATCAACTTTTTTAACTCCCACATACGAGTGAAAACATATGGTATTTGATTTTCTGTACCTGGCTTATTTCAGTTAACACAATAGCCTCCATTTTCAACCATGTTGTTGCAAATCATTTCATTCATTTTTATGACTGAATAGTATTCCAATGTGTGTATATACCACATTTTCCTTATTTATTCATCTGTTGATGGGTATTTAGGTTGATTCCATATCTTTGCTATTGTGAATATGCTGTGATAAACATGTGAGTGCAGGTGTCCCTTTGATATACTGATTTCCTTTGGAAAATACTCAGTAGTGGGATTTCTGGATCACATGGTAATTCTATTTTTAGTTGTTTTGAGAAATCTCCATACTGTTTTCCATAGTGGTTGTACTCATTTACATTCCCACCTATAGTGTATAAGAGTTCCCTTTACACCCTCGCCAGAATCTATTTTTTTTTGTCTTTTTAATGACCACTCTAACTGGTATAAGATGATATCTCATTGTAAGTTTGATTTGTATTTATCTGATGATTAGTGATGGTGAGCATTTTTTCATGTACCTGTTGGTTATATGTATATATTCCTTTGAGAAATGTCTATTCATGTACTTTGTCCTCTTTTTAATGAGTTATTTGTTTTTTTTTTTGATTGATGAGTTGTTTGAGTTCCTGGTATACTCTAGATATTAGTTCTTTGTCAGATGAATAGTTTGCAAATATTTTCTCCCATTCAACAGGTTGTCTCTCCACTCTGTTGATTGTTCCCTTTTCTGTGCAGAAGGATTTTAGTTTAATATAATCCCATTTGTCTATTTTTGTGTATGTTGTCCGTGTTGTTGCAGTCTTAGCCATAAAATCTTTGCCTAGACCAGTGTCCTAAATTGTTTTCCCTATGTTTTGTTCTATTAGTTTTATAGTTTCAGGTATTACATTTCAGTCTTTAATCCATCTTGATTTGATTTCTGTATATGGTGAGAGATAGGGTTCCAGTTTCATTTCTCTACATAACGGATATCCAATTTTCTCAGCACAATTTATTGAAAAGACTGTTCTTTCCCCAATGCATGTTCTTGGTGCCTTTGTTGAAAATCAGCTGGCTGTAAACACATGGACTTATTTATAGTTCTCTATTCTGTTCCATTGGTCTATATGTCTGTTTTTATATAAATGCCATACTATTTTGGTTACTATACCCTTGTAATATACTTTGAAGCCAGGTAGTGTGACACCTCCAGCTCTGTTTATTTTGCTTGGAATTTCTTTCTTTCTTTTTTTTCTTAGGCTATTTTGGCTCTTTTTATGGTTTCATATTAATTTGAAGATTGTCTTTTCTAATTCTATGAAAAATAACATTGGTGTGTTGAAAGAGATTGCATTAAATCTGTGGATTGCTTTGGGCAATGTGGTCATTTTAATAATATTAATTATTTTGATTCATAAGCATGGGATGTTTTCCCATTTGTTTGTGTCCTCTTCAATGTCTTTTATCAATGCTTTGTAGTTTTCCTTGTAGAAATCTTTCACCTCCTTGGTTAAATTTGTCCTCAGGTATTTTGTTATATTTTTTGTAGCAATTGTAAATAGGATTACCTTCTTGATTTGGTTCTCTGCTTCACTGTTATTGGTGTATAAGAAGCTACTGATTTTTGCATATTCATGTTGTATCTTGCAACATTACTGAATTTATCAATGAAAGAGTTTTTTGTTGTTTTCAGGTTTTTCTAGATATTAACCATATCATCAACAAAGAGGAAAAATTTGACTTACCTTTTTTCCAATTTGGATGCCTTTTATTTTTTTCTTTTGCCTGATTGCTCTGGCTAGGACTTCCAGTACTATGCTGAATAGGAGTGGTGAATGTGGGCATATTTGCTTTATTGCAAATATTAGAGGAAAGGCTTTCAGCCTTTCCCTATTCAGTATGATTTTGGCTGTGGGCTTGTCATACATGGCCTTTAATATGTTGAGGTACATTCCTTCTATGCATAGTTTGTTGAGAGTTTTTGTCACGAAGTGATGTTGAATCTTATCTAATGCTTTTTCTGTGTCTATCAAGAGGATCATATGGTTTTTGTCCTTCATTCTGTTGATGTGATATATAACATTTATTGATTTGCACGTTGACCCATCCTTGCATCCCTGGGATAAATCTCACTTGATCATGGTGTATTATTTCTTTGATGAGCTGTTGGATTCCATTTGCTAGTATTTTGTCAAGGATTTTTGCATCTGTATTCATCAGGTATATTGGTCTGTAGTTTTCTTTCTTTGTTGTGCTCTTGTCTAGTTTGGTATCAGGGTAATGCTGACGTCATACAATGAGTTTTTGAATTCTCTATTCAATTTTTTAGAATAGCTTGAGGAAAATTGGTATTAGTCCTCCTTTAAAAGTTGAGTAAAATTCATCAGTGAAGCCATCCAGTCCTGGAGTTTGCTTTGTTGGGAGACTTTTTATAACTGGTTTGATCAGGTTTTCCATTTCTTCCTGATTCAATATTGGTAGCAGGTATGTGTCTATGGGTTTATCCATTTCCTCTAGGTTTTCCAGTTCATTGGCATATAGTTGTTCATAATAGTCTTTGATGAAGTTTGATTTCTGTGGTGTCAGATGTAATGTCTCCTTATTCATTTTTGATTTTGTTTATTTGGGTCTTCTCTCTCCTTTTCTTGTTTAGTCTAGTTAGCAGTTTATCAATTTTGTTTATCTTTTTGAAGAACCAACTTTTCACTTAATTGATCTTTTGTATTTCCTTTTTTATTTTTATTTTATTTTATTTTTTGAGATAGAGTCTCACTTTGTTGCCCAGGCTGGAGTGCAGTGGTATGATCCTGCCACCTCCACCTCCACCTCACTGCCACCTCCACCACCCAGGTTGCAGCAATCCTCATGCCTCAGCTTCCTGAGTAGCTGAGATTACAGGCGTACACTACCACGCCCAGCTAATTTTTTTCTATTTTTAGTAGAGACAGGGTTTTGTTATGTTGGCCAGGCTGGTCTCCTGAACTCCTGGCTCAAGTGATCCTCCCACTTCAGCCTCCCAAAGTGCTGGGATTACAGGCATGAGCCACTGTGCGGGCCAATCCTTTGTATTTCTTAGTCTCTATTTCATTTAGTTCTGCTCTGATCTTCGTTTATTCCCTTTTGCTAATTTGGGGTTTGGTTTGTTCTTGCTTTTCTAGATCCTGGAAGTGCATTGTTAGATCATTTATTTGAAGTCATTCTACTTTTTCGATGTAGGCATATATTGATATAAACTGTTAGGACTGCTTTTGCTGTATCCCACAGGTTTTGATATGTTGTGTTTTATTTTAATTTTGTTGCAAGAAATTTTATTTCCTTTTTAATTTTTATCTTGATATGATCGTTCAGGTACATGTTGTTTAATTTTCATTTATTTGTTCAGTTTCCAAAGTTCCTCATGTTATTAATTTGTAGTTTGGTTCCACTGTGGTCTGAGAACATACTTGATATGATTTCTATTTAAAGAAAATTTTTGAGACTTGTTTTTTGTTCTAACATACAATCTGTCTTGGAGAATGTTCCATGTGCTGATAAGAAAAATTTGTATTCTGTATCTGTTGAGTGAAATGTTCTATAAATGTCTGTTAGGTCCATTTGGTCTAAATTCAATGTTTCTTTGTTAATTTTGTCTAGATAATCTGTTTAATGCTGAGAGTGGGACGTTGAAGTCCCAAAGTATGATTGTATTGGAGTCTACGTCTCCCTTTAAATCTAATAATATTTGTTTTATATATCCGGGTGCTTTGGTATTGAGTGCATGTTTAGAATTATTATATCCTCTTGCTGAATTGATCCCTTTGTCATTATATAATGACCTTCTTTGTCACTTTTTATTGTTTTTGACTTACAGTCTGTTTTATCTGGTATAAGTGTGGCTATTCCTGCTCACTTTTGGTTTCAATTTGCATAAAATATCTTTTTCCATCCCTTTATTTTCAGTCTATATGTCTTTACAGGTGAGATTGGTTTCTTGTAGGAAGCATATAGTTGGGTCATATTTAAAATCTATTCAACCTATCTATGCTTTTTAAGTGGAAAATTTGATTTATTCACATTCAAGTTTATTACCAATATGTGACAGTTTATTCCTGTCATTTTATTAAATAATTTCTGGTTGTTTTGAAAATCATTTGTTCCTTTCTTTCTCTCTTCTTATTTACCGTTATAGTTGGTGGTTGCCTGTAATAGTAACATTTGGGTCTTTTCCTTGTTTGTGTGTCTGCTTTACCAGTAGTTTTTATATTTTCATACATTTTCAAGATGTTAGATGACATTCTTTTACTTCTGGTGTGGGATGCCCTTAAGTATTTCTTATGGGGACAGTCTAGTGGTGATAAATTCCCTCAGCTTTTGCTTTTCTGTCTGGTAGAGACTTTCTTTCTCCTTCATTTGTGAAGGATAATTTTCCTGGGTATAGCACCCTTGGCTTCAGTACTTTTTTTGTTGTTGTTTTGTTTTGTTTTGTTTTGTTTTTTGCTTGTTTGTTTTTTGAGACAGAGTCTCACTCTGTCACCCAGGCTGGAGTGCAGTGGTGCAATCTCAGTTTACTGCAACCTCCACTTCCTGGGTTCAAGCAATTCTCCTGCCTCAGCCTCCTAAGTAACTGGGATTACAGGCTTGTGCCACCATTCTTGGCTAATTTTTGTATTTTTTAGTAGAGATGAGGTTTCATCATATTGGGCAAGCTGGTCTCAAATGCCTGACCTCAAATTATCTGCCCACCTCAGCCTCCTATAGTGCTGGGATTACACACATGAGACACCGTGATCAGCTTCTTTCGGTATTTTGAATATAACATCCCATTCTCTCCTGGCCTGTAAGATTTTTGCTGAGAAATTCATTGTTAGTATAATGTGGATTCCTTTATAGGTGACTAGAGGCTTTCCTTTTGCTGTTATTGGAATTCTCTCTTTGACTTTGACTTTTGACTTTTGACAGTTTGACTATATTGTGCCATGATAAAGACCTTTTCTCATTGTGTCTATTTAGGGATTTCTGAGCATCTTGTATCTGGATGTCTAAATCTGTTGCTGGACTCAGAAGTTTCATCTATTATCTTATTAAATATATTTTCCAAAACTTCTATTATCTCTTTGACTTGTGGGATACCAAAAATTTGAATATTTTGTCACCTGTGGTGTCTCATACGTCAGGTAAGCTTTGCTCATTCTTTTTTATTTATTTTTGTCTGACTTGGTTATTTTAAAAGACTTGTCTTCAATTTCTGAGATTCTTTCTTCTGCTTGATCTAGGTTATTGTTGAATCTTTCAAATGTATTTTGTATTTCATTCAATAAGTTCTTCAGTTCAATAATTTCTGTTTGATTATTTTTTATGATATCTATCTCTCTGGTAAACTCATTCATATAACTGAATACAGAATTGTTTTTCTGATTTCTTTGTCCTGTTTTTCAGTATTCTCTTGTATTTCATTGAGTTTCTTTAAAATCAATATATTGAATTCTTTTTCCAGGATTTTGTAAATTTGTTTTTTATAAGAATCCATCACTGGAGAATTATTGTTTTCCTTTGGATATATCATATTTCCTTGCTTTTTCATATTTCCTGTGTCTTTACATTGATATCTGCACATCTGGTGTAACAGTTACTTCTTCCAGTGTTTTGAATTTGCTTTTGTAGGGGAGGACTTTTTCCTGAAAATGTATCTATGGTGTTGGTTTGGTATGGCACTTTGGCTTTGATTCTGTGCACATGCATTAGTAGTAGTGGTCTCTGTATGATTTCTTAAGCTGAAGAAACAGCTGTCAGTGGTGTTTATGATTTCCTCAGTGGCTTAAGGTGACTTTATTAGTGGAGGCTGTGGTGAAGTTTTGCTGGGAATTGGGGTGCCAGATGGCCAATCTTTAGGCCCTAGTGGTGGCAGCAGTGGACTGAGTGTTCTTGTTCTTTGACCCCAGGGCAGCGTTCACTGGCACCAGTGTCAACAGGCCTAGGTGGGCCAATTCTTGGGCCTCTAGATGGCTTGCTTGAAAGACAGTAGAGGCAGCAGAAGGCCAGGCAGGTGGGCAGGTTCTTGGGTCCCTGGGCAGCCAGCATGGTTTGAGTGATGGCATCAATAGCGGTGGGAAAACACTCTGGGTCCCAAGTGATATGTGCTGATGTTGGCTATGACTGTTATAAGCTGAATTGGCCAGTCTCTGAGCCCATAAGTAGCATATACACGTAGGTGCCAGCTGTGGTGGTAGTAAGAGGGTGGGTAGGCCCAACATCAGGCACCTGGGAGGGATCCTCAGATGCCAGCAGTAGTGAAGTGGTCTGGGCAATCCCCAGACCCCAGGCCCCTGTACTGCATGATTTGGCATGGAAGGGGCAAAGCCAGGAGGGGTGGCCTTTTACTCAGGCCTCTTGATGGTGTGTGCAGGCACCTGCTGTGGTAGGCAGGGATGGGGCAATTTCCAGCCTTCCCAACAGAATGCTTGGGTGGGAGATGGAAGCAGCTGTGTTGTGGCCCTACCACTGGAAAGGGTGGGGCTGCCTTCAGTGGTGGCAGCCTATGCTGGAGTAGGGGGAACACTTGTGCCTCAGTCTTGGTGGTGACAGCCTCAGCCCTGGTGGAAGCCCACGTTTTACTTACATCTCAGCCCAGGCACCACTGGGCCCCAGGACAGTGCATATAGTCTATTGTGAGCTGGGCTCTCAAAATGGCACCTTGCTGTAACTGCTTAGAACCTGTGGGGAATGTGGGACCCAGAGCAAGCTTCCTTCCTGAACCAGTGCAGTCACATGGTATACAGGCAGCTCTCTATGGTAGTTTCAGGTTTTGCAAGGATCTAGGGCTCTCCTATGGTTAGGACTGCAGAAGTCCATGATGGGAATATGGACTGCTGGGGGTCTCTCATTTGCCCTTTTCTCACACCAGGAAGTCACTCATAACTCTTAGCCAATCCTGACTGAGCAGACTGCCTACCTTCCCTCTCCTTCCTTGCTTTAGGTGTTCCCTGTCACTTTTCTATTGAATTCCAATATTCTCTCTTGGATGATCTATTTTAAGTGGGATTATCTGCTCACTATTTTAGTTCTCATTGGAGAAGGCAAATATTAGACACTTCTGATAAGCCATCTTGAAACCTTTTCAGAATGGTCTTTTAACTAAAAGCTATAAAAGACCCTCACTCTCTTTCTTGAAGTCTAACTCTGCTCCAACTACAAATTACTGGACAGCCATGATATTTGATAAATGCACACATACACATTTACAATCTCATTTTTGCAGCAAAATGTATAGTAATTTTCATGTTCTACATTTTACAGATGATAAACTGAGGTTCATAAAGGTCATGTAGCCTGCTGCAAGAAAGATTACATATATCACTTGCGGAGCTATGATTTGGACTGAAGTCAGTCTGACTCCACTATATTTTGTTTCTATACAACTTTCTCATTCCAAATTAAAAAGTAAGGCGTTCTTGGGAAGAAATCTGCCTCTAGTATTTACAGAAAGAAAACTCAAACAGAATCACTGAATGCCTATTAATTCAATTCAATTAAACAGATATGTGCCATGGATTTGCTGAATACAGTGAGAATTACACTGATGAATACAATACAGTTTCTGTCCTGTAGAATGTTATATTTTAGGGAAGATGGGGAAGGGAGATGGATGTGTGAGGTTCATACAGAAATAACTCAAGGTTCAGATCATAATTGTCAAAAAAGGAATACCAGTAGAAGGCTTTGAGGGCCAGTTTGGCCATGTGTTAGTAATTGTCGAAGTTGAGAAATTTGGGACATGGCAGAAGGTGTTCATAATGTCATTCTCTTTACTTTTGTATATGTTTAATAATTTCCATAATGAAAAGTTTGAAAAACTGTACAGGGGCATAGGTAAGAAAGAGTTTTCATTTGCATAGAAGATTTGGAAATTGGTTTCCAGGGAGAATGATAATTATGGGAAATATTTACAAGATAGGAAGAATCTCAATAGGTGTAGATTGATACAAAAAGTTGGTTTCTACCATTTCCCCAAGAATTTCCTGTCTCCTAATTTCATAAACTGAACTATGTCTTTATTATTGGAGTCTTTGGTGGTCCTGGAGTACTTAGCTCTATCTTGCATGGGGCATTTAGCCCCACTGATACCAGTAGCTACAAATCCACCAAGGGAATCTGAGTGGTGACAAGTCAACTTTCATGGTTCTGCCAGAAGCTCCCCTGGGTTTTGCAGTAGCTGCCTCTCCCTGGTGCTACTGAGTGGAAGTTGTACAAGCATTCTATTTAAATTCAGTACATCTGGCTATATATTAGGAAAAATTCCAACTCAACTCACATTTTCAGTAGGTTATTTGTCCTGAGCAAAATTGCAGTTGAAACCATGTGTTCTAGCTTGACAGAGGAGGAAGCCCTCCTCATCCTGCTTGGGCCCCAACACCCCATGCCATGGAAGCATTTCCTACCCCTCTGGGCTCTGAGACATTGTGCCAGCCTGTATTCCCTGCATGGATGCCCCCTCTTTAATCTGACACCAAATGCTGGGCCATATTCTACATGGACATCCTCCTCACTCTCTTCAGGATCTGACCTCCGCCCCAGGACACCATGCTGGGCCATCCCATGCCCGTCCCTTACCCTATGAAGACACATTTCCTGCCCTGCTCTGGTTCCCAATCCCTGCTGGACCAATTTCATCTTACTCTCTTTCTCATGCCTGGGCTCCAACGCCCATGCTGGACTTCCTCTCATAGAAACACACTATTCACTCCATTCGGGCTATGACATCCCACACTGTGCCACCACCACTTGGGAATGCTTTACTTACCCCACATAGGATTTGACTCCCCACCCTGAGTCACCTGCTTGTGAGGTGCCTTCTTCACTCTGTTTGGACCCTGACTACCTATACCAGGCTACACCCCCACAGTGACATTCTCCTTATCCTGATGAACTGTAACACCCCGCAGAAGGCCACAACTTGGGAGTGTGATCCCTCTACCCTGCAAAGACTCTGACATTCTACTGGGACCCACAGTGGCTCCTCCACCCTCATCATGTATGCCTACATTGCTAAGCTCACCAAGATGACTCTACAACTTATTTTTTAGTAAAGAAGTGAAGGGAAAAGAAGGAGGAAAGAAAAAGTCTTGAGAAATTTCTTGGGTTTTTTTTGGAGGGTCATAGTTATTGGGGTGTAATTCACATACAGTAAAACATCATTCTTTTTAGGTATACAGATCTATGAATTTTTACAAATGCTGTAACAAGTGAACAAGTAAATATATCACCTCAAAAAGTTTCCTCATGCCCCTTTGTAGTCAATGTTTATTAGTAATATTTTCTTTTCCAAAACTTTAATATGGTTTCCCTAGGGTTTGCAATATACATCTTTAATTTATTATAGTCTACTTTCAAATAGTATAATACCACTTCACATTTATCGTAAGAATCCTGCAACAATTTATTTCTAATCCCTCTCTTCTATCAAAACGTGAAAGTACAGTTGTTGTGATATAGTTTAGTTTTACATGTAGTATAAATCCAGCAACACATTGTTGATATTTTTGCTTGAGGAAACCAACTATCTTTTACAATGATTAAAAATAATAAATAATAGATTTTATACCAAGTATCTGTCTATAATCAGATTCCTTTTTCCTGAAGAGCTTTCTTTAACATTTATTGTAATGCAGATCTGCTGGAAATGAATCCAGTTTTTCTTTGCTTGAAAAATGTTCATTTTCCCTTATTTTTGAAAGATATGTTTACTGGGTAAAGAATTCTGATTTGATATTTTCTTTTTTTTTCTTTTTTCTTTTTTTTTTTTTTTGCAACAGTCTTACTCTGTCACCCAAGTTGGAGTGCAGTGATGCAATCCCAGCTAACTGCAACCTCCACCTCCCAAGTGAAAGCAATTCTTATGCCTCAGCCTCCCGAGTAGCTGGAATTACAGATGCATGCCACCATGCCCAGCTAATTTTTTTTTATTTTTTAGTAGAGACAGGGTTTCATCATGTTGGCCAGGCTGGCCTCGATCCCCTGACCTCAAGTGATCCACCCCCGCCCTTGGCCTCCCAAAGTGCTGGGATTACAGTCATGAGCCACCACATCTGGCCTGGTTTGATATTTTCTTTCAGTTCTTTAAAGATGTCAGCCCATTGTCTTCTACATAGTTTCTAAAGATAAATCTACCATAACTCTTATTTTTGTTATTTCTTTTATGTATTTTTCCTCTGGCTGCTCTCAGGTCTGTTCTTTTATGTCTTGTTTTCTGAAGTTTGAATATAAATGTCTAGGTGTGTTGATCTTATTTTATTTTTTTACTTTTTATTTCTTGTTATTTATCCTGAGGCTCCTCCAAGCTTCTTGGATCTGTGGCTCAATATCTTTCATTATTTTTGAAAGATTTTCAGCCATCGTCCCTTGAAATGTTGCTTCTACTCTTTTATCTGTAGCTTCCCTATCTGGAACTCCAGTTACCTATATTGTCTCACAGCTCTTGGACCTTCTATTCTCTGTGTTTGTTTGTGCTTCTTTTCCTTTTTCTGTCTTGCCTCTTTGTGTTTTAATTTGGGTAATGTCAAAACTGCAATTTTTCTATTTATGATAGTCAAAAATTTATCTTTAAGTTTACTGAGTCTTTCCTGGGCTGAATCTAGCCAATGAGTCCACTGAAGGAGTTCTTCATCTCTGATATTGTTTTATTATTATTTCTAGCTTGTCAATTTAACTCTTATAGTTTCCATCTCTCTAGTGAAATAGCCCATTTGTTCATAAAAGTTGTCCACTTTTTCCACTAGGCCCTTTAAGATAATAATTATAATTATTATAGAGTTTATTTGTAATAAGTTCAACATTGGGCCATTTGAGTCTGGTTCTATTGATTGCTTTATCTCTTGACAATAAGTTTGTCCTCCTCACCCACTGCCTTTTTTGTCTTATAATTTTTTTATTAAATGCTGGACATTGTATGCAAAACAGTAAAGACTAAAGCAAGAATTTATGTCTGGAAATGTGTATGCCTCTTCTTCTGTAAGGTTATTTACATGTGATTCAATCTAGTCAGAGATTGAGTTTTACTGTTGTTGTCTTCAGTGCACTACCAGGTCAAATTCTTCTAATAATGTCTTGTGCATAGGGTGCAGTTCTGAGGTTGTGTATGATTTTTTTTTTTTGGTGTTCATGCTCCATTATCAGCTTTAAAAATTATCCTCATGTACCTGCGTCACAGAGAGTGTCTCTCTATGCTCCAGTTCCATCCCCAGAGGTTGAATATTCTTGCTTGCTATTTTGTGCTTCACAGGCTAGTAGGGACAGGCAGTGTTCTCTGTTGCCTTGATTCACCCTGAGTCTTCAGAAGGCTCTATGCTCCTGGACTTTAAGGCGAGACTTTCTCAGAGTTCCCATCCGTCTCCCACTTGGCAGCCAAATTTTGCCTTGTATCTGTGACAGATATTGATCAGAAGTCTGCTCACCCTCAACCAGGAGTAAGAGATCTCTAATTATATTAGTATAGATTCCTGGATGCCAAACTATTTCCTCTCTTTTACCAGGGATAATGTGGTTTCATTGTTGTTGTTTTTTGTTTTGTTTTGTTCTGTTTTGAGACAGAGTCTCACTCTGTTGCCCAGGCTGGAGTGCAGTGGCACAATCTTGGCTCACTGCAAGCTCCGCCTCCCAGGTTCAAGCCATTCTCCTGCCTCAGCCTCCCAAGTAGCTGGGACTACAGGTGCCCACCACCACGCCTGGCTAATTTTTTGTATTTTTAGTAGAGACAGGGTTTCACTGTGTTAGCCAGGATGGTCTCAATCTCCTGACCTTGTGATCTGCCTGCCTCAGCCTCCCAAAGTGCTGGGATTACAGGCATGAGCAACCGCACCTGGCCCGTTGTTGTTGTTGTTGTTTTATCTTTCTTGTAGCAACAATGGATCTCACTTGTACCTTGGGATGCAAGATTTGGTCCCTTTCCCCTAGAAGCTCAAGACATTTACTCTTTCAGAGAAGATCCTCAGGCAAGGGGCAAGGGGCAAGTCTTCAGCCCTTTTTCATAGAGGCAGCTGCCCTACTTCCCAACACTTGCACCACTAAGGGGGTTCTCCCTGTCTCCTACCTTGCCCCTCAGCTTTCTCATGAGCACCCCATGGAGGTATGTGAAAGTGCAAGCTCCCTTTCTGTCTGGGACTTCCATGGATTCCATACTTTTGTGTTAGTCCACTGTTGTCCTTCAGAATTTTTTTAAAATTTTAGCTTATTTCTACTTACGCACTTATGTGTCAACTTCCCCTTTCTCTCATGCATTTTCACAGGTAAGCCAGTCAGTGAATACTGGCTTTCTTGGGCAAGCCTATCCTTTCCTGAGTTTTGGGCTGTTGGTTGTCCTTTCTCCAATGGGAGAGGTCAGTTCTCCAGTGGGCTCAAGAAATGCATGATTTTTTTTTTTCTGCCTTTTCCTATTATTCCAGTGGGCAGATACTCTTCCAGCTTTCTACTCCCTAGGTGGAAGTGGAAATCCAAGGGAGGTTTTTCAACCTTGAAATGGTCTCATCAGAATTGTGTTTTTGAAATCACAGTGTAAAGTTACAATTAATTGTATAATTATGTGGAAGAAACTTTTAAATCTGTGACAAGGATAATTACAATGTAACAGGAAAAGCAAACCTGTTTACTATAGAATGAATTTTCTGATATGGATCAATTCAATAAAATTATGCACACACATGTGTATATAAACAACAGTTGGTTGATGGACTTTGAAAAGCAAGAAATTTTTCTCAACTTTTAAAAATTAAAGTACAATACATATTTAGAAACGTGCCTAAGTACAGACTAGCTGAACAAGATATATCTAACTTCTAAACATATCCTTGTGTTATTAGAAATTGACTGTTGTTTTCCATGTGAAGTACTCAGCTCCCACCGCAATAAGTAAGAAATGAGAATGGAAATAATTATGTTCTGAATTGAGCTGAATCTGTAGTTTTTCATGACATCTTCTATTTCTCAACATAGTCTCTCAAGTCCCAAAGCCTTCTTGGATAAAGCTGAAACTTTGAGTACCTTTTGCCAAAAATTGAGTGAGAACAGGAGCTGCTATATTGGAAAGTAAGGGTTTGAATGAACTTCTCATACCCTTGCAAATGAATAAAAAAATTACCCGTTTGGTTGGAACTGGGAACATCAACTCATGTCTTCTGCCACCTGGATGGTGAGTGGGTCATGAGGAATTAGGATTCTTACTCTAAATCAAATGTTAAAAAACTTCTTATGATTTGCCCATATTCTTCCTCTCTGAACCAAGTTCACCCAGGGAGGCCTCTACTTCAGAAAAGGGACATAGATTCATCTAATGATATTGACCCTGAGGAGAGGGCTAGTTTTGGAAGCTGAGCTTCTATATCTTACTTTGACCCTTTGAACATATGGCTAACCCTGGCTAAAGTCAGGGACCTCAATCCATATTCCTTATAGAGCAACTGATCTTCTAAAGTACTTCCTGGGAATCAATGTCCCCTGGAAACACATGACTTGTTGCTTGTCAGGTTTGATTTTTTAGATCCCTGAACCTACCCTCCCCTGTGATGTAATTTTAATACTATCACCAAGAAAATGGTAGCAGAAGGTTTGATGGAGCTGTGTTTTGACCGTTATCTCCAAAAATGGCAGAAGAATTCCCTTGGAATTCGTATAGTTCTTCAGAGAATTTGTCTATTAATTTTTATTTATTCATTCATTTTTTGTGGATCTACCCAGTATTTCAGTTTCTCCTCTAACATCTTGAAGAAGTTGTCCTTGATTTTCATCCTCCATCATTGTATTTATTTCCAAATTAGATAAACCAAAATGAAGAATTTGAGATCAGCTTCTTTTTGGAGTCTAGAATCTCATTGAACCCATAGATAGAAAGGGCCAGGAGAAAGGAAGGATTGAGACAACGTCCTGATTCTTCGGCTGGAAGCATCAAGTCAAACCAGGCCCTGCCTCCATGATGAAATGGGTCTGGGAGGCACTGGAATCCTACTGTTGTCTCAAACTGAGTCAAGGATGAGGATTCCTATATGCAGAGGTGGTGAATGACTTGTGATGTACCTGGCTTTCTCCAAGCCCAGAATCCAAACTCTCTAAGGACAAGGAAGCCCAGGTATCAGAGCAAGTCCCAGTTAGCTTTAGGGTGCGGTTCTGTCTTCATGCAGACACTGAAGTTCTGATTAATTGCTCTCACTTCTCTTAGGACACCCGGAATTGCCTCATCTAACATTAGCCCTTTGTAAGAGTCTTCCCCACAGGGGGAACTGAATAGCCCTGGTCTACACCTTGGCTAAAAGGCTCTAGAATAGCTGGCTGTGGTGGTTCACACCTGTAATCTCAGCACTTTGGCAAGCCAAGGTGGGTGGTTCACTTGAGGTCAGGAGTTCAAGACCAGCCAGGCCAACATGGTGAAACCCCATCTCTACTAAAAATACAAAAAATTAACCGGGTGTGGTGGCAGGCACCTGTAATCCCAGCTACTCAGGAGGCTGAGGCAAGAGAACAGCTTGAACCCAGGAGGCGGAGGTTGCAGTGAGCCAAGATAGTGCCATTGCACTCCAGCCTGGGCGACAGAGTGAGACTCTGTCTCAAAAAACAACAACAACAACAAAAATGCTCTAGAATAAAGCTAACCCTAGCTAGGATACATCTCTCTCTTAAGGCAGATCTTCCTCTAGGCACATTTATTTTAGAAGATTTTCTGTCCTCACTGCTGCTGCCACTGCTGGCCTGCCAGGCCTGGGACGTATCTCAAAATAATAAGAGCTATTTATGACAAACCCACAGCCAATATCATAATGAATGGGCAAAAACTGGAGGCTCATATATTCTTAAGTAACTCATAAGAGCTCATCTTTACTGAGCCCTGGCACAATGCTGAGGAATGGGATCCTCACCTCAACCCTAGGAGGTCGGTTTTATGTCCTCTGTTCTGCAGATGAGGAAACTGAGAGGTTCTGAGAAGACAGCTAAGGCCTCTAAGGGGAAATGGCTGTTGAACGACGGCCAGGGTTTGATTCCTTGTCTGGGCCACACCCCAAAGTTTGTTTTTCTGACTCCTCCCCCTTCCAGGTTTATGCCATCGCTCCCCACAAGTAACTAAGAAGCACCCCCTTCCACACCCTTGCAGCTGTCCATTTTTCATGCCTTTAGAATGAGGATTAATGGTAGCTCATATGGAGTTTGCCAGTCCCCAAAGCTCTTATGGCACCACTCACAGGACAAGTAACTGCCCCAAGACAGGGAGGAAAAGTGTTCAAGGGAGGGCGTCTGCCCAGCTCCTAACAGAGCCCTGGTTCTCTCCTGAAGTTAGCAAGGCTTTAATAGTGACCATTAGGATTCCTTTTTGAAACCCAATACGCTTGACAAATGATCCTGACTTCAGGCCTCTCCTGAGTTTCCACATGGCTGGGGTTGCTTAAACTGCAGTGACAATTCAGGGACTTGTCTTTCTCCAAGTGCACTGTGAAATGGAAAGTTTGTCAGCCCCTCCCACCCCCACCCCACCCCACCACCTCCCCTCTTTTTTCATCCCTGGCCGAGGACGCAGCTCCAGGACCCACTGCCACCGAAGCAGCGCAGGGCCCCTTGTTGGTGTTCAGCTGTGGGGCTGTGTGCAAGCCAGTGGGGAACACGTGAATTCAGTTCGCTGCATCCAGCACCGTCGCAGGCTTTTCTGGACACTCTGTTTCAGAGCCTTGGATTTTCTTCCCCAGGAAGTTTGGTTTGCACAGGACTGCACGCTGTTTAGCTTGGATGCAAAGACAGAAACAAAGCTTCATCATGCCACCCGGGGTCTGCTTTATAGCTCTCTATGAAGAGAAAAATCTATTTACCATGGTTGGAGACAAGAACGTTGCCTTGAGGCTAAAGGGCAGATTCCCTAGGAGACGTTGGAAGGATTTACTTTTAGTGTAAGCTTTGCTTTGCTTCAAAGCTTGTACTTTTGGAAATTTCAGATTTCACTGTGTATATGTGAAGCCCAGTCCAGCTTCTTTCAAGAATCGACCTGCACTTCTCCGAAGTCCTGATTCCTGTATTCATTCTCCAGTCGAGCCTCTTCCATCTGCAGTCAGGGGAAGGATGGGCGTATTTTCTTCTGAAATCCTTCCCGACCTGCTATTTTCCTCTTTTTAGTGCCCAAACACTAAAAACATAATGGCAGAGAGAGAAGTACATGTATCAAAATCAAAAAGAAAGTCCAAGTCCTGAGTGTGACTTTGAGGGTTTTTGTTTTTCTTCTAAGTGAACACTCTGTTCTTGTTCTTATAAAGTTAAGGTAAAAATTGAGATTTATCCACTTCCTTATTTGTTGATTCAATCAACATATATTAAACAAGTCAGTCTGTGAGCTGCATTCTGAGAATCCTTGGACACATGCTGGCATGAAAGGGAACACGTGCACACACGCAGAGGAGAAAGACATGTGGAATAGACAACCATAATAACTGCAGAGAGAGCAGTGATGGACTTGTGTGCAGTATGGGCACCAGCAGTGTTCTCCATCGTGTGTTCATGTGCAGCATCTGTCCTCAAGAGGTGGAACCCATTTCCCCTCCCCTGGAACCTGGGCTGCCCAGACTTTTGGCCAACAGGATTCGGCAGAAGAGTAAATGTGCTACCTCTGAGCCCAGACCTCAGGAGGCTTTACAGCTATCGTGTTCACCTGTTGGAGGTTAGCTCCAAGCTGGAGACCCAGGCTAGAGCATTGACTAGTGAGAGTTCATGTGGGAAGAGAGAAGACAGGTAGATGAGGATGGAGCCACCCCAGTCGACACATGTGGAGGAATGATGAGCCTTCCCTCTTGCACCCTGCCCAGACCCTGAAGCACAGCCTTGCAGGCAACAGGAATGTTGTGATTTTGAGCCACTGTGTTTTGGGGTGGTTTGTTATACAGCAACTGATAACTAAAGCAATGCTGAGAGTAACCTATGTAACATGGAGTAAAGGGAAAATAACGATGAGTTCTACATGGCTTGCCTGAATGTCTCCCTGAGGCTGTGATGTGCACTGTGATGGCAAAACACCTTATCAAAAGTTTCTATTGTCAAGCTTCCAACTCAGAAAACTCATTTGTATATAGCAACAGCACACCCCCATGCTGACGACACACCAGGTGCTGTGCTCAGCACCTCACACTCACCTCATTCAGGACTCTCAGCTCCCTCCCAAGGCAGGCGTGTGTGAACATCATCTCCCCTCTACCAGTGGGAAAACTGAGACTGGTGGGAGGGGGTGTGGGGACTGGGGTTTGAGCTGTGTGTCCACAGTCACACAGCTCTTAAGTGACATGACAAGGAATCACTTCCAGGAGCTCCAGCACCATTGTTAGGGTTTTTGTCTCCACATGTCTCTCTGCCTGGAGATGGCTCAGGACAGGAGCCCTGGCTTTGCCACTTAAAGATTCAATGGGCCTTTGGTAAGCCATCTAGCTGCTGTAGGCCCAGCTGTCAAATCTGTAAAAGCAGGGAGTTGGATGAGCTCAATGATTTTCAAAATGTGAGCCCTGGTGCTGGATGGGGCCACTGGGACCAGGAGAGGATGGGGGTGGCACCTTCTGCTTCTCCCTTGCTTGGCCAGAGGCTGCTCTCCTTGTAGCTGATTTACATAGTGGGAGGCACTTAAGAGTTATTTTGAGGAGAGTGTTCTGCTGATGAAGACATATTTGAGAACCACAGGCCTGGATGACCACCAGGGTCCTGTGATTCTGCAACCTGATTGGCTGGACCTCAGCGGCCCAGTCCCTCACCTACAGGGCTGGTCTTATCTGAAGCGGATCAGGGAGCACTCAGTCTAGGAGGCTGGACACGGCTCTCACTCTGCCCGTGGCTCTGAGGCTTTCAGGCCCTCTCCTCCCTTGGAGCCCCTGTCTCCTTCCTCTTCTCCTCCTTTCCCACTAAGCTCCTGCTTCAATTTGATGTCAGTGTTCCTCCCCATTATGCTGGCAGCGCTGGCCTTGAACTAGGTACAAGTTCCCAGCTAATGAGGAAAAGCAGGCCTTGTGGGTGTCGCTGGTGTTGCTCACATCTCACAGCTTAACTATGATGCCCCGTTGTGCGGGAGTGTGAGCAGGAAGATGAAGACCAAGACCCCCTACATACCTGGCAGGGATGGGAAGACATAGGGGCTGAGGGAGACCTGTCGGGCCCCAGATGGACACAGACTGGGCTAGGACTGGGGAGAACAAAATTCCCTTGGCTCTGACACTGCATCCTCATGTGGCTTCAGGCAAGTCACCTTTACAAGGCAAAGATAATCCTATCTGTTCTTTCAACATCACAGAATAGTTATAAAGATTAAATGAAAATAGGCTGAAGTTGAATATTGCATATGCATGTAAAATATCATTATCTCTTAAATGATAACTGCATATTATGTAGAGAAAATTTATTTCATGAAGCTGTGGCCTTCTTTGTCTTCTCTTGTTATTTTTTGGCAAGAGATAAAGCAGGATAAAATGAAAAATATTAATCTTTTTTCTAATACACTACTAATAAAAGGCAAATTCTAAATTAGTTTGCTGCACAGCAAAGAAGTAATTGATTTGGGGTTATAATAATCAAACAAAAGGTCAATAGTCAGTGATTCTCCTTTACTTTTCAGGAAATGCCTTTGGAAGTTCTTCCCTTGAGCAACCTCGCAAGTGAGGTGTTCAGAGCATCTAAACAGACCCTGGAGACAGCACCAGTCAGCAACAGTGGATGGGAGAGTGGCTGGTCATAGAAGTGGACTGTGTTTCATTGGACAAAAGTGGACAACAGATCCCATGGTAGGGACACTAATACTCTGTTTTGACAGTGCAAGTCAGAAAGCATAGGCCTTCTGTGTTTTTGGAGTAATTCTGCTGGAGGAAAGGCCCAGGACCTCAAGGCCGGCATCTACTGAGGCAAGAATGCTCATCTGAGAGAAGACAAAGCTAAGGAAGTTTGTGTTGGACGCTGGAACTGGGACACGTATTTCTTGGCGGAGAGCAGCACCCGCAGAAGTGCAGTTACACTCACCAAACCCCTGCGGAAACAGCAAAAGCTGGAACCAGAGCCCGCTACTTTGAGGTTCGCCTCCCACTGACATGTTTTCCTATGGTTCGAGCAGAAACTTCACATGTCCTGGAGTTGACAAGAAGGGTGTTTTCTGCTCTCATCACAGTTGTCTAAGGGACCAGTGACAGACGAGGACCCCAGGCCCAGAACAAGTTTTGGGAGGGGCTATGCAGGTACCTGGTTCCCCAGCCCTGGTGCGGTGGAGGTCTGAAGCACGTGGCATCCTTCAAAGTCAGTTTGCTCTCCCATCCCACCCGCGGGGCTGACTGCAGTGCCTGCTACATAGTTTAAAAACATATAAAAAATCATATATATAATCCTTTCCCTGTGCCAAAAAGCTTTTCTTTTTCTATTCTGCACTCTGAAATACTTTATCATTTTTAAGGTGATGTGTAGATATGGAAAGTTCAAAATACCCCTGCCCTATTTGCTGTGCTGCCTCTTTTAAGGCCATGTCTGTGCTGGCCCGGGCTCAGAGGAGCTGCTTCACTGGAGAGATATGTCCCCAGTGAGAAGCACTGTGTGAAGTCAGCAAATACTAGAAAAGAATGGAGACATTTTCCTTTACTTCTTGTATTTTACTTTTTAATGCTTTTTTTTTTTCCAAATTGGGGGACTTTTTAAACATTGGCACAGGCTGTACAACTCCCTTAATTAAAGTTTTGTTAAAAGAAGAATTTTGGACAAATTAAATTTAATGAGCAAAGAATGATTCGCGAACAGGGCAGCTCTGAGAATAGGCAGATTTGTGGACAGAACATGGAAGTGAGGCATGGGGCAGCTCTGCTGGTTACAGCCCAGTCTCAGCCTTATTTGGGCATAGTCTGATCAGCAGGCCATGCTTGACTGAAGCTAGGCTGCTGTGATTGCCTGAGACTCAGTTATTGGTTTGTTTGAGTGGAATAGTAATTGCAGTTTTTGCATTGCTGGAATTTGCCATTTGATATTGGAATACATTCTTAAATAAATGTTATGTTGTACATCATTTTGATGGGGCATTTCTCACTTTATTTATTTATTTATTTTTTTGCTAATGACTTGCTGTTTATTTTAGACTATGGAAATGATGTTAGACAAAAAGCAAATTTTGGTTTTTTTGAGATGGAGTCTCGTTCTGTTACCCAGGCTGTAGTGCAGTGGCATGATCTCTGCTCACTGCAACCTCTACCTCCCAGGTTCAAGCAATTCTTCTGCCTCAGCCTCCCAAGTAGCTGGGACTACAGGTGCACACCACCACACCCAGCTAATTTTTGTATTTTTAGTAGAGACGGCATCTCACCATATTGGCCAGGCTGGTCTCAAACTCCTGACATCATGATCCGCCCGCCTCGGCCTCCCAAAGTGCTGGGATTACAGGCATGAGCCACCGTGCCAAAAAGCAAATTTGAGCAATATTCTTATTCTAGTTCAAAATGGGTCAGAACATCAACAACGCATTTGGTCCAGAAACTGCTAACAAATGTACAGTGCAGCAGAGGTTCAAGAAGTTTTGCAAAGGAGATGAGAGCCTTGAAGATGAGGAGTGTAGTGGCTGGCTAACGGAAGTTGACAACGACCCATTGAGAGCAGTCATCGAAGCTGATCCTCGTACAACTACGCGAGAAGTTGCTGAAGAACTCAACATCAACCATTCTACAGTCATTCGGCATTTGAAGCAAATTGGAAAGGTGAAAAAGCTCTGTAAGTGGGTGCCTCGCGAGCTGAGGGAAATTTTTAAAAATTGTCATTTTGAAGTGTTGTCTTCTCTTATTCTATGCAACAATAATGAACCATTTCTCAATCGGATTGTGACATGCAGCGAAAAGTGGATTTTATACAACAACCAGCAATGACTAGCTCCATAGTTGAACCAAGAAGAAGCTCCAAAGCACTTCTCAAAGTCAAACTTGCACTAAAAAAGGTCATGGTCATTGTGTGGTGGCCTGCTGCCAGTCTGATCCACTACAGCTTTCTGAATCCCATTACATCTGAGAAGTATCCTCTGCAAATCGATGAGACGCACGGAAAACTGCAATGCCTGCAGCGGGCATTGGTCTTCTCCATGACAATGCCCAACCACACGTGGCACAACCAACGCTTCAAAAGTTGAACGAATTGGGTTACAAAGTTTTCCCTCATCCGCCATATTTATCTGACCCCTCACCAACTGTCTACCATGTGTTCAAGCATCTTGACAACTTTTTGCAGGGAAAACACTTCCACAACCAGCAGGATGCAGAAAATGCTTTCCAAGAGTTTGTCGAATCCCTAATCTAGGATTTTTATGCTACAGGAATAAACAAACTTATTTCTCATTGGCAAAAATGTGTTGATTGTAATGGTTCCTATTTTGATTAATAAAGATGTGTTTGAGCCTAGCTATAATGATATAAAATTCATGGTCCAAACCACAATTACTTTTATACCAACCAAATAGAAAAGCAACCTCCTACATTAGGCTGTCAGATCCTTTATGTATTAAGTTAGGGGGTAACCCACAATAGGGAGGCAGCCTCAGGCCTAATGTAGTTTAGTTACAGTTTCAACATTGGGATACAGTTGTACTGTTGATTAGTTTAAAGCCTCTTCTCTCTGAAAATGAAACAGATGCACTCACATAGACAGATGCCATTCCCTTGGAAGCTGGCAGGCATTGGGCTTTACTGCCATGCAGGCAATTTCCATAAGACATCTTGTTTCCATAAGACACATCAGTGTCCCAAAGCTATAGAAGAGCACCAAAAACTGAAAGGCACCAGAGCCATTAGGGGGAAGAGAAATGCCTCTGCCATGTGCTTGCCTCAAGGTAGCTCCTAAAATTGATGTGTTGAGTTTCATGGATGTCTAGCAGGGCTCACTGTGTACTGGGGTCTCATCACAGCACTTTATAAATGTGACCTCAACCCCCATATCAATCTCACATGGCAGGTCCTGCTATTATCTCCAGTTTGGAAGAGGAAATCTAGGCACGGAGAGGCTAAAAACCTTGCCCAAGAACACACTGTTCCTAAGTGGCGGAGCCAGGGGTTTGGCCCAGAGGAATCCCTTAAACATCACATCATGGTGTTGACAAGCAACATCCAAAATAAGAACATGCGCTTTCTGAAAACATGCACATCATGGGAAAGACTTCTAAGAGGGTGGAAGTCAATGCTAAGCAGAGATAACCCTTGTCAGAATCTTTTCATTATGTAGTGTCAACTATGACTTCCCATCACCACCATAGAGGCCACCGTCTCAAAAAGAGTGTTAAGTGACCAGCAACACCAGTAGTAGGGAGAGTAGATCTCTTGAGGAGAGAAACCCCAGGTCTTTGTCTCTTTTTAGAGTAAAAGAAAGAAGAAAAATTGGTAAAGTAGCATCTGGGGAAGGCTTGGTTTCATTATATGCTGAGTCCTCAGCCAAAAGAGTCTCCATGACTCGTATTGCTGTCAAACCGAAGGTTATTTCTTTGTTATTTAACGTTGTTCTTCCATAGGACATGAGGGTCTACACTGTAGTCTTAGGTTTGAGCTCTAACCACATCTTTATCACCTGGTGCACATTCCTCACCTTGTGGTCCTGCTGATCCCAAATAGTGGTGCTTCCTGGGCTTTTCTCCTGCACGGAGAGCCCTGTAAATGCAGAATTCTCTAAGGTGAACAACATTCTCATTTGTCCTGGACTGGATCCTGGATTGAAGGGATTCTGGGAACAAGAGACCTTTGCTGCAAAAACTGGGAAAGTCCTGGACAAACTAGGGTGAGCTCTAAAAAGTGCTCATATCCGTTTCTTCCCCAATGACAATGGATTTATAGCTGTTAATCTGTGTCCTCTAACCTTAGCCCACTTGTGACGAGTACTATAACAAGTACGTATCAACTATTTGGTGAGAGGGAGTAAACCCTCTCTGGTATCAGGCCATATCCACCCAGGCTCCTGAACTGTTTAATGACGTGTTGACTGCCATGAACATTTCTTGGTTGAAAAGGGAGCAGACAAGCGTTCCTGACAGAAGGCTCTATTTTACAGCTGCCTCACTGCATGTAGCCCTCTGCAACTAGTCATAGGTACCAAGTAGATGTCATGCAATAAAACCGGCATCCTTCACTCAGCCCAGCTTTCCCTATAGCTCACCTCTCAGCCCACTCATTGGCTTTTCATTCTATGAGTAAAGCGAAGTGCACATCCGCTGTCTTGCTGTAAGACTCCCAGGTATGGGAACCCTGGAAGTGAATCACAGGGTGTTGTCTGATTCCAGTTTATAGAGTGAGTTTGAAAGTGTTCCCTTCTCTACAATTTTCTGGAACAGTTTGTGCAGACCCAGCATTATTTCCTCCTTAAATGTTTGGTGTAATTTAAAAGTGAAGCTGTCTGTGTCTGTAGTTTTCTTCACGGGGAGGTTTTTGACTAAAAATTTAATGTATTTAAAAGACATAAGGCTTTTCAGGTTTTCTATTTGTTTTTGAGTGAGTTTTGGAAATTTGTGTCTTTCAAAGAATTTCTTTATTTCATCTAAGTTTTCAAATTTATTGGCATAAAGTTGTTGAAAACATTCCATAATTATCCTCTTAATATCTGTAGATGCTGTAGTGATGTCACCTCTCTCATTCCTGATATTAGGAATTTGTGTCTTTTTTTTCTTATCAGGCTGGTTAGGGTTTATCAGCTTTACTGATCTTCTCAAAGAACCAACTTTTCATTTATTGATTTTCTACATATTTTTCCTATTTCTATTTTATTGATTTCTGCTCTAATCTTAATTATTTCCTGACTTCTTATTTGGGGTTTAATTTGCTCTCTTCTTTCTCTAGTTTCTTAAGGTAGAAGCTGAGATCATTTGAGACCATTCTTCTTTTCTAAGACAGGTGTTTTAGTGCCACAATTTGCTGATTTATCTGTATCCCCCAAATTTTGATATGTGATTTTAACTTTTATTTGGTTGAAAGTAGTTTCTAATATTTCTTTTTATAACTTCTTGGGCAATTGGTTATTTAGAAGTGTGTTGCTTAGTTTCCAAATAGTTGATGATTTTCCACATGAGTTTCTTTATTGATTCTAATTTAATTCCATGTGGTCAGAAAATATGCTATCAGTTACTTGAATTCTATTTAATTAGTTGAGATTTTTTGTGGAGAGAAAAATGGTCTACCTTGGTCTGTATGTTCTGTGTGTCCTTGAAAAGAATGTATATTTTGCTGTTTGGGGCTGATACATTCTATAACTGTCAAGAAGGTTAATTTGGCTGACAATGTTGTTCAAGTCTTTTGTAGTCTTCCTTATTTTTCTCTCCACTTGTTCTGTGCTATTAGGAGGGATACTAAAATCTCTGAGCATAATTTTGGATTTGTCTATTTCTTCTTGCAGTTCTATTTGTTTTTCTTCATGTATTTTGAAGCTCTGTTAGCAAGTGCATAAACATTTAGGATGTTATATCATCTTGATTATTTGGCCTTTTACCATTATGAAATTGCCCTCTTCATTTCTGGTAATAGTCTTCTAAAATGAATTTTGTTTGATATTCAGCTTTCTCTTGATTAGTGTCAGCACGATATGTCTTTTTCTAGACTTTTACTTATAACCTATTTGTGTATTTAAAGCATATTTCTTGAAGGTAACATACAGTCTGGCTTTGCTGTTTTATCTATTCTGACAGCCTCTGCCTTTTAACCAAGGCAACACTCTTCTGAGCACTCTACCCAGTGCCTCAGAATTATGAACTTTTTGTCTGGCTGGTGGAACAGCACTATTATTCATCCTGTGTGAACCCCAGGTACTGTTTTCTCTAATCCTGTTGGATGTTTCCTTTCCTTGCCTTCTGTATTTTTCTCACATGCATGAGCTAATCACTCTCTAACAAGCAGAGCTCTCAGCTTCTCTCCGTGGAGCTCTCTCCTCTCTAGTCTCTGCACTGTAAGATTCAGCCACTCTGACCTTCCTGGACTCTCAGCTCCAACCTCTTCACTCAAGGTTTTCACCACGCTGTACCTGGGATCCCCCTCCCTGTCCTATGTCCAGAAAACTTTTTAAAGGCAGTGAGCCAGGGCAAATACAGGGCTCACCTCATTTGTTTCCTATTTCTCAGGGTCTGCTATCTTTCACTACCCGATGCCCAGCATCTTGAAAACAATGGCTTCATATATTTCGCATGGTTTTCTAGTTGTTTCAGGTGAGAGGGTAAACCTTGTCCCTGTTACTCCATTTCGGTTGGAAGCAGAACTCCCAAGCAAAAAGGAGTCTTTCCCTCTGAAGTGAGGTGAGGTGGGGCCCAGAGGTTCAGAGGTTGAATCTGGAAGGCATTTGGGTGAGTTTTCCAGTATTTGATTTTGATGGGATGGTATGTTATTATTTTTAAAGCAAGTTTGAAGTGTTTATAAATTAATTGGGCCACTTAATTATTAGCTATTTTCATCCCTTTTTAGACTTTCTATGATTCCTTTTTTCTGTAGAATTTAGAGAAGATCTAAAACCATGGGAAAATAAATTAGTTTTTACACAACCTTCAACACACAAAATAGCAAAATCTAAGGGCACTTAGAAAGCATTTGAGCCCATTCTGGATGCATCTTTTTCACCTTATAATCATAAATTAAACCCACTATCTTGTAGAACTGCTGACAAAACCCACAACAAAACAAATTGCACATGTAATTCTAAATTGAAGAGACATAATTGTATTGGCAATGTTCTGTATATATAAGGATTGTCTCCAAGTGGAAAATTAAAAAGTTAAACCCTGCCCCTATAGGAACAGTAAAAACTGGATTTGCTGCAGATTCTCTCCTATCCCTGCTGAAGAATGAAAATGTCTCATGACTTTGTAAGGACCCCAGCAATCAGCTTTGCTGTTGTAGAAGGTGGCATGGCTCCCTTGTCTCTGAGACAAGCCAGGGAAGTTTCAGGTAGCAGATGCTCAGCACACCTCATTGGAGAGGCCAGAAAGGTACTTCCAATGGGAGTAAATGGTCTGCCATTAGGAAGATCAAACATCCATAGAAGTCCAGGAAATTGGAAATGAGGAGGGTTTATGTTAGGAGAAGTGACAGGAACAGAAACACAACGCTGAGCTGCCAGAGAACGCCCATGCATATTGCCTGCAATGAGGCCCAGACCTCCACTTTAAGTAACTCCAATTTCTTTTGTTGTTGGAAGTTAGAGTGTAAACATACTGTCTCCAAGGGTGTTTTAACTGCTCAGAACATGTGTTTGACTTAATGAGGCATCAGGACCCAGCTATCTTCCAACTCAGCCTTCCAGAGTATGATGTTCATACGGCCAATCTGGATCATCCATTTCAAATCCAAAGAGAAGAGAAAAGATCAAACAGTGGGTGAGGCCTTATGGAGACCCTTGTCTGAGAAGGCAGAAGTATTATTCCAGCAGGAAAACATACAATTCCTGTTGTCCTGTTGTTCAACAGTATCCAAGTCAACCTTCCTTCCCTGCCCACAAAATGCACCAGTTTCTAGGAGTGGATGTTCACGCAGGCCAGTCCTAGAGAGGTATGGGGCAGGGTCTTGGATGGGTGCTTTACTTTTAAATCTAAAAAGAAAGAATGAGAGGCTGGAACATGGAAACAATCACGAAGACTAACAAGGAATCTACTTGGGGTAGACTTTTTATTGCATTAGACGCCCAGAGCAGTCCCTTTACTGAAGTCTGGGAGATCTGCTGGCAGTGGCAGTGTGTGTTTCCCTCCTTCTGTGGTTGCTGCTGGTGGCCTTGGACTGCTCTGTGTTGGAACCTTCTTCAGCGATTCTAGATATACTTTGTCACAGCTCAGCTCTCACTCATTGCCTCCTCCATCCTGCTTTTGCCCCTTAATGTCTGTGTCAACCGAAGTGGTTGAATCCGATGGGTTACCACCCTCCTTGAGACCACGGTCGTGGCACCACCAAAGGCACCCAGCAGAGTGGCTCTCTGGTAACTCATGCTGAGCTTTGTGCCATGTGTCACACCCATCTGGTTAAACGATTTAGCCACTTAATTGAACAAAGCTGATGGATAACATGAGGTGGAACTACACTCAGATTGCTTGTGGCCAATCCTTTCCCCTAACCGAAATACCAATTCATAAACCTCACTGAAACCAACTCAGTATTCATTCGATTACTCCAGACATGAATTGAAGTGGTTGGCAGGAGAAAGCATAAATCAGCAATAAATAAAATGATACCTTGTGGAAATCTCACTAAAGACTCATCTTTGGGGTAAAACAGAGACATATTGAGGTTTTGAGTACTTTCAAAAATACTTTGATGAGAAGGACCCAATTTGGGATAAGTTCTCTACGTAGTGAATAATGCTATAGAGAATACAGCAAAAGTTCTAAAATTAGAACTAAGAAGAATGACTATTTGACTTAAAGACCTGAAGTGGAAGTTTTACTGGTGTGATTCCCAACTTGATAACACAAAACGCATTTCAGGAAATCCCTGTCTGCCCCCACCCATATACCCCATTGAGTCAGAAATGGATCTATGTCAAAGAACAACACTGTTAAGTTAGTTTGTATTTCACTCATCCCAACAGCATCTACATACACATGAAAATATCATCAGCAGCATTTATCGTCCCTATGGATTTATGGACCCCTTGCTCTGCTCCCAACACTGAACCACTGCTCAGTGTTTGGGAAACACTTGCCCATTATGTGCAATATCAATGATGCCCCAAAGGCTAAGTCTGGGAGGAAGTGAAGTCTTTGAGATACTGCTATTGTTTATGTGATCACTGGTGACAGAAACCAATGATTCTGACTTAGGGTCCATCTCAAGAGAAAATCATTCCTAGAGATGCAGGCTTTCATTTTTGTCAGATGACTGTGGTTGATTTTCCCTTGATAGTCTTTAACAAAATCCTCATAAATCAAAGATAGCAAGGAATCATAATTTCTTTAGGCAGTTAATAACAAACAGCTAGGTTTCCAGATCAAATATGAATGGAAATTACATCTCTAGAAGAAATTCACTTATTCCAAATGCGAGCTTTCCCAGGTTTATGTTAGTCTGGACAATCTTAAGCCCTTTTACAAGGGCTACAATCAACATTTTTGCCTGGGAATAGCTCTTATTAAATGGGCTTTGTCAATTACTTAATGTTTTTAAAAGTTAAAACACCGGTTTTAGCTTTCTCCTATTTCAATATCTCATATTCAATATGAAAACACAGTTCACATAAAGCTCCGTTACCTAAATGCCTTCACGTGTGTATTTACGAAGTAACAGCACAACCGCTGGTTGGTTTGCTTTATGGTTCTTGAAAAGCTGGATAGGAATGGCCGGTATGTGCCCTAAACCGCACTAGGCCCTCTGGACAGGTAAGACATTGGCCGCTGGAAACCTCCCAGAGTCCAGGAAGGGGCCGGGGTTACCTGTGTGCATTTGACAGTGGAGCTATCTGCACTGCAAGGCCACGTGCGGTCACCCGCTCTGAGGTCAGGAGGCCTTACAGAGGGCGGCTGAACCATGTCACGGGCTGCAGCCTCCTGACCTGGCCAGGGACGTGCTGACTCCCGGTGAGTGTAAAATGCCCATTGCAGACGTGGTCTGTCCTTCTGGAGTCAACCACATGGAGGCCATTGGGAACGCAATAAAGAAGGTCCCTTGCAGGGGGAGGGAAATGTTGTCTCTGTATCCCCTGGGGTGGGGACGTTGTCGATGACTGAAGTCAGAGAGCTCTAGAATGGCAGAGGATGACAGTCGCATACAAGAAAGCGGGGCGGAGAGGAGGGAAGGGGCGGCCCACCTGTGGTCACCACGCGCAGCCCCGGCCTCCCCGTGGGAGAGGATCAGGATCAGGATCGGGCGAGTCCAGGGCGAGTGCGAGGAGGAGAAGGCCCAGCCCTTCTGCGCCCTGCGGGGAGGGAGAGGGAAGGCCCTGCCTAGGACAGGGCGCGGGCGCTGAGGGATTTGGGGGTGCAGCAGCTTGGCAGCCCCTCCCCCCCGCTCCTTCCAGCTGTGCTCCCGGGTGCGAGGCTGCCGCGCCTGCCAGGGGATCCTGGGAAGGCCAATCCCGTAAAGCGGCCACAGGGAGCCTCCGGGACTGGCTTGTGAGCTCCCGGAAGGCCCAGAAGGAGGGAAAAGTCACTGTCCCTAGATTGTTCCTGTGACTCTGACCCTCTTCTACCACCAGCTGTAAGAACCTAGGATGCTCTGTTTGCCACCAACATGCCTGTGGCCCTGCTAGCACTGTCGCCTGTCCAGTCCTATTTCTCTAGGGAGCATCCGGGCAGGAGGTAACTCTTCACCAGGAACAAGGCGGAAGCCTGATGTTGTTGTTTCTGCATGGAGATCCTTCGCGGTTTTTCCGGTTCCTTGCTGCTTTGGCCCGGTGGGCTCAATGCCCTGGGGAGCTCCTTCCAGGCAGGAGCTCCCGTGATGCGCCCACCCCCACAGCCCCACGACGCTCCCAGGGACAGGAGCACCTGAATTTTCAGCATACGCTGGACACACACCCTGAGCTCAGGGAGGCAGGGGCACGTTGGTTCAAATCCACGGAAACAAGAACAGGCAAGGAAAGAAGGCCTGGGCTTTTGGGCGCAGTACCTGAGGTACACAGGAAGATTCCAGGGAGCTGGAATCTTTTTTATGTTATTATAGCTGCACAATTCCATTCATTCTTCTTCTAAAACCACAGTATTTCAGGATGAAAAAAAAAAACAACAACAACTGTAAAGCCATCTAGCCAACCTTCCTGATTTCACAGATTAGGAAATCGTGGCCCATAGAAGTTAACCACTTACGGTGGGGAGGGGGTCACACAGCAATTTAGTGGCAGAGCTGGGATTAGAACCTGTGTCTCTCTTGTCTAGTTGTAGGGCTCTTCCCAGCTTATCCTGTGTTCAGAGCCACTGTTCTTCGCAACTAGGTCAGGGTCTCCAGGGGCCAGCTTCCCATTCGTTCCCACAGGCCTCAGGGCAGCACCGGGCAGAACGTGAAGACAGGGACTCACCCCTGCTGCACCTCTATCCCATTTACAGAATTCAGAATCTGTGCCCTGCTTTTGGGCACCCCATCCCTGCTCCATCCCTGCTTGTTCCTTATCCATTCCTCCCAATTCTGGGACCATCTTCCCTAGCATCATCCTCAGCTGACCATTTATGACATTTGCAGCCTCATACAGACTCCACAGAGCCACATGTGTCCACATGCACACAGGGACGCACAGGTGTGTGCACCTCTGACACCAAGAGGGCATAGCCTCCCTTGCTGAACCATGGCCCTACTGGGCAGATCCAATGGGAACAGTTCACCTGGCACATCAGTGCTGGTCTGTCCTCACCCCTTCTGTGCTCAGAGCCACATTCCAGGTCCAGCCTAGCCAGCATCTGGGGGCCCTCATGACCCAAGACCAGGGCCAGCCCAGCACACGCAGCATCTTCGTGGAATGAGGGAAACCTGTCCCCTGCAGTGGATGGATTCAATGCATCACATCTGTGTGGATGAATGAGAAAAAGGCTGCCAGCAGCTCCATGCCAGGCTCAAGGCTCAGCAGAGCTGGGTGGGCTTCATTCAGCCCACGGGTGCCCCTTACCAGGTAGAGTCTCCCCAAGCTCGTGTAGACCCCTCCAGTAACATGGTCTTTCTTTTCCTCCCTCCTCCCCAGAACATGGGACAAGAGAATAAAAGTGGGCTCACGCCTGTAATCCCAGCACTTTGGGAGGCCAAGGTGGGCGGATCACGAGGTCAGGAGTTTGAGATCAGCCTGACCAACAGGGTGAAACTCCGTCTCTACTAAAAATACAAAAATTAGCTGGGCGTGGTGGCGGGTGCCTATAATCCCAGCTACTCGGGAGGCTGAGGCAGGAGAATCGTTTGTACCCGGGAGGCGGAGGTTGCAGTGAGCCGAGATTGCACCATTGCATTCCAGCCTGGGCAACAGGGTGAGACTCTATCTCAAAAAAAAAAAAAAAAAAAAAAAAAAAGTGAGATTAATTAGTGAAGGAAAAACAGTAAAAACAACAGGAATATGGAGGCAATGATTCAAAAGATGACAACCCGTTATTCCAATGATGGGACACGATTTCCAACTCTGACACAAGCATCCTTTAACTCACACTTAACCACAAGCCACTAGGAATCAGCACAACTCAGGCACACACATCTGTGAACAAGAAAACACAGGAAGATCTGTTTTCTCTTTTCAGGGAAGACCCTAGGAGCTCTGTTCATAAGTATTTTGAAGCTCCCTGCAGTCACAGGGTTGCCGTTCTTTCCCTTAGTAAGGCCACAAGGTAAATATGTTTTCTTCTCTGCTCTCTGACCAGACAGAAGATTGCCTCTGCTTATAAAATCATCTGTAATCTCCGGCAAGGAGGTTTCTTCCATGGCTTAGGGTCTTATTTCCTTCCGTACTGGTCCCCACCTCCCAGCCCCCATATCACATGGGCATCTCGCCTTTGCTGGCCTGGTGGCCCCTTCTGGTTAA